>NC_000010.11:13949393-14100909 GCF_000001405.40 Homo sapiens
AGCTTTGATTACTTACACGAAGTTTAGTTCACACAGGAATTTATACATGACTTCAAGTTGAGTTTTCTTTTAGTATTCATCTTCCAGATTTGGGAAATACATCATGGGTCTTAAAAACTCACATCTAGGCCCATACTTAATCAAAAAGAACTCTGGGAATATTTTGTTCTTGTAGCTCCACATATGGAAGACCAGAATTGATATTGCCAAGACTTTTCAAAAGCCTGAGATTACTTGTATTTTGTAAGACCCTTTATGACTTACAAAGCAATTCCACAAATTTTTAGTCTTCACATCAGTACTATTAGATAGATTTTATAAATCCTTATTTTATAGACGAGGGCACTAAGAGCCAGAGTGTGTAAGGGACATCCCAAGTCACACAGTTAATAAATGCTACCGAGTTGATACTGGAGCCTAGGTTTTCTGACAAGGCTCAAGCTGCACCCTAAACCATGGAGATTTCTCAGCGTCTTGTTTCAGAAGCACTGGGGTATGGAAAGCAGCACTCACATCTGTGGGTTTTTCTCTTTGGAATGCATGAAATAAGATGTTAGTCATTTTCCATGTCATCAAGAATCAACACTTCTTATGACAGATCACAACATCTCAGAAAATATTTCTTTCATTAGCCACATTACTGACTTACTTCACAACTCTTTGCTGGGGAAGGAGTCTTTGGGGTTAATTTGGTCTGACCTTAGCCCATGTTAGGAATTCTCCTCCACACACAGCTGGTCCTGTGGAGATGAAAAACATGTACACACCCTAAAATCCTGTCCCAGATGAGTGGCTTTAGGGGATGCTAAATTCCCAGGCAGGCGGAGGCAAAAAAAGAAAGGGACATTTGGCCTTTGCCATGATGACTACATTTGACTGATGTTTCAGTGTGATGTTATTTCTGGCATCATCTTGATCTGTAACTCAAGACTGGTTTTAACTTGGGAAAGTCTGAATCTTCACAGATTTCATTTCTGTCTTATCTCCTCCACTGAAATTCAACTAATTTAACACTGTGTTGATCTAGCGCTGGAGGGGACAGAAAAACAAGTAAGACCTGATCTTCCCACTAGAGGTGCCTATGGTAGGGTAGGAGATAGAAGACATGATGTAAATAATTGTAAAAAAATGCCATGACAAGGCAGAATGGACCAGGTAGGATAACAGAAGGAGCAAGTGAGGTGGGGACTTAAGATTTCCTGGAGGAATCTGCCTTTCCAGCCTCTCTCTCTTCCACCCTCCCCTTTACTCACTATACTCTAGCCACACTGTCTTCCCTCTCTTCCCACCATGTGCCACATTCGTTTCTGCCTCAGGACATTTGCACGCCCGCTTCCCTTTTCCCTGTGTCCTTTCCTGAGAATTTTGCTTGGCTCATTCTTTTTCCTCATTTGGGTTTCAGCTCAGATGTCATCATGTCAGGAAGTCCTCCCCGATGACCTTATCCTGCTTATTTGTTTACTTATCTTCTCTCTTGCCATGGAGAATGGAAGCTTCCCTTATATTTGAGAGTCACAGATAAGCTAAGACAAGAACATAATGCTGCTCAAAAAATACTGAGATTCGAAGGGAGTAGAGAGAGAGAAAAGGACAAGACTGAGAATTCCTCTTTGGGTTTATTCATTTAGGTGGGATGAGGAGCAAGAGAAACTAGCAATGAGAAGGCTCAGAGAAGGAGGAAGAAGGGCAGGCTAGGGCCGGGAGAGAGAAGCCAAGGGTGCTGGGTGCTTCCACAGAAGGAGCTACAGAAACATTGAGGCAGATGGGGAAATGGCAGTGGGTGTGACAACCGAATGGCCATTGGTGATCCTTCGGGGAAGGAGGGACAGCAGGAGCAGAGGTCAAGGTTATGAGGGCATATGGAGTGGTTGGTGAGGATGCGGGGCGCCAGGAAGAGTGAGTTGCACCTGATGGCTAGTAGGGAAGGAAGGAGAGAGGTAGTGCGCCATCTTGGGATCGTAGCAGGCTTGAGAGAACGTATTTTCTAAGATTGATGGGAAGATCTAAGTTTGAATGCAGACTCAAAGGAAAACTACAGAGGGAGATATTGAAGATGAAAGAAGTGGGGAAAGTTGAAAGAGAAAGCTGCTGAAAGAGGTGGAGTAGAAGGGCTGGAGAGTACAGATGAAGGGATCCAACCAGCCACATTTCGGGGAGTTGTGCTGATCGACAGGACAAATGTTAAGGTGATCAGGTATCACAATCTAAAATTTTGGCTGGGCGTGGTGGCTCATGCCTGTAATCCCTGCCCTTTGGGAGGCTGAGGTGGGTGAATCACCTGAGGTCAGTAGTTCAAGACGAGCCTGGCCAACATGGTGAAACCCCGTCTCTACTAAAAATACAAAAATTAGCCAGGCGTGGTGGCGGGCGCCTGGAATCCCAGCTACTTGGGCGGCTGAGGCAGGAGAATCCCTTGAACCCAGGAGTCAGAGTTTGCAGTGAGCTGAGACTGCATCACTGCACTGCAGCCTGGGCTACAGAGTGAGACTCTGTCTCAAATAATAATAATAATAATAATAATAATAATAATAATAATAAACAATCTAAAATTTTACAGAGAAGTGGTTGGGGCAAATATCTGTTCTCTTTGCTTTTTCAAGTTTTGGAGTTCTTAAGAAGTTCTTTAAGATATTCATCTTACATTGGGAAGGGGCTTGTTTCAGAGCCAATTAAATCCAGTTTAATTTAAAATCTCCAAGATGAAGGAAGTATGACTTTCCCCATGATGTATGTTTTTTTTTCTTTTTATACTCTTTTTTCTGATTTTTCAAGTAATATATGCTTTTTATTTTTATTATTATTATTTTTTAAATGGAGTGGCTGCCTGGGCGTGGTGGCTCATGTCTGTAATCTCAGCACTTGGGGAGGCTGAGGCAGGACAACTGTTTGAGGCCAGGAGTTCAAGATTAGCTTGGGATACACAGCAAGACCCTATCTCTACAAAAAAATTTTTAAAAAGGAGCCAGGTGTGGTGGCACACACCTGTAGTCCCAGTTGCTTGGGAGGCTGAGGATGGAGGATCACTTGAGCCCAGGAGTTGGAGGCTGCAGTGAGCTAAGATGGCACCACTACATTCCAGCCCAGGTGACAGAGCGAGACCCTGTCTCTAAAAAAGAAAACAACAACAAAAAAAGAAGACACCAAAAAGTGAAAGGAATTTAAAATGTACCTGTAATTCCTACCCCAAAATAACTGCTATATGTCAAAGAGCAGAAATTCTAGAAGCATGATGGTTCAAATCTGGCTCTGTCTCTTCTTACTGAGAGGTAGTTGCAAATTATGTAAACTTTATTTTTTAATTTTAATTTTTTATTTTTTGAGATGGAGTCTCACTCTGTCAACCAGGCTGGAGTGCAGTAGCATGATCTCAGCTCACTGCAGCCTCTGCCTTCCAGGTTCAAGTGATTCTCCTGCCTCAGCCTCCCGAGTAGCTGGGACCATGGTGCCCACCACCATGTCGGCTAATTTTTTTTCGTATTTTTAGTAGAGAAGGGGTTTCGCCATGTTGTCCAGACTGGTCTATAAACTCCTGACCTCAGATGATCCACCCGCCTCAGCCTCCTAACATGCTGGGATTACAGGTGTGAGCCACCCTGCCCGGCCCAAATTATGTAAACTTTAACGCTCAGTAGTTCTCTTCTGTAGGATGAGGATGGTGGTCATAGCTATTACCTTACACCAGCTGATGTGAGGACTAAATTATCT
Source organism: Homo sapiens (assembly GCF_000001405.40). Lineage (NCBI taxonomy): Eukaryota > Metazoa > Chordata > Mammalia > Primates > Hominidae > Homo > Homo sapiens. The sequence continues at coordinate 13,953,099 of NC_000010.11, forward strand.
CCAGAACCTGTAGCCCATATGGGAAGTACTCAAAGGCCCCTGCTTTTATGATAATGCCGTTTTCCTCCCAGGCTCTTCCATATAGATGCTCTTCCCCTTGTGAAACTCAGGTTGCTTTGCAGGAACAATTTTGTGTCCTGTTTTTGTTCTCATCTACCCTTAGCTTGTGAACATTTTCCCATAACATCTACATTTCCCTTTTTATTCTAAAGGGAGCTATGGCACGATGCCCCCAAGAAAGTGATAACTACATACCATAGTCCCCCATTATCTAGAGTTTTGCTTTCCAAGGCTTTAGTTAACCATGGGTCAACCGAAGTCCAAAGATGGTCAATGGGAAATTCCAGAAATAAGAATTCATAAGTTTTAAATTGCATGTCATTCTGAATAGTGTGAAGATATCTCACACCTTCCCACTCCATCCCGCCTGGGACATGGACCCTCCCTTTGTCTAGCTCCTGCTGTCCACATTACTCACCCACTAGTCACCTAGTAGCCATCTTGGTTCCCAGATCGACTGTCTTGAGGTCATAGTACTTATATTCAAGTCACTCTTATTTTACTTAATAGCCTCAAGCACAAGAGCAACGAATCTGGCATATTGTTAGAATTGTTGAATTTATTAGTTATAGTGGTTAATCTCTTACTATGCCTAATTTATAAATGAAACTTTATCCAAAGTAATGTATATATAGTGTATATAGGGTTTGGTACTATTCGAGGTTTCAGGCACCCACTGAGGCTCTTGGAAGGGACCCCCTCAAGGATAAGGGTAGACAACTGCATATTGTCATAACTCTTGCAGTATCAATTATTTTTACCTTTTTTAAAGTTTAAGAACTCAGCATCATCATCATCATACTGGAAGCTCACTTTACAAAGAATCACCATAGGGCAGCAGCCGGTACTTATCCCTTCTCTACAAAAACAAATCACAAGCAAAAACCAGGATCCAGCCCTGTGCTAGGACATCAGGGCAGAAACAGACCAAAGCCTGCACAGTGTTCACTGCTCCATTTAGCCTTTGCTGCTTCTCCGCAGGTTGGGTTGTGTTGGTAAAGAAATAAACAAAAGGAGAGTCCCTCTTTCTAATCAGTTTCCTATTGCACTCGGTGGCTATATTAGTCTGTTCTCACACTGCTGATAAAGACACACCTGAGACTGAGTAATTTATAAAGAAAAAGTGGTTTAATGGACTCACGGTTTCACATGGCTGGGGAGGCCTCACAATCATGGTGGAAGGCAAAAGGCATGTCTTACATGGCAGCAGGCAAGAGAGAGCGTGTGCGGGGGAACTCACACGTTTACAAAACCATCAGATCTCCTGAAACTTATCCACTATCATGAGAACAGCACGGGAAAGATCCGCCCCCATGATTCAATAACCTCCCACCGGGTCTCTCTCATGACACATGGGAATTGTGGGAGCTACAATTCAAGATGAGATTTGGGTGGGGACACAGCCAAATCCAATCAGTGGCTCCAGGGGCTCAAGTCATGGGAAGGGGAATTGAGAGGAGAAATTCCCCTTCCAGCACCATCAGGGCCCTGCAGACCCTGGTGTCACCATCCATGCATGGCAGCAGTGCCCTATGCTCTGTGGCTGGCAGCCTGTGTGAGTTATTGGGGTCATCATCACAGCCCTGCCAAGGCAGCACCTGCAGTTCATCTCAGATCCACTGGCTTGGGTTCAAAACCCCGTACCAAACCCTTTCAGAGTGCTGGTGTTTGGTGCAGGGTCTTCTCTCAAACCCCTCTCTCATGTTACACTTTTAACTTGCGATGCATTAGATTGTAAGTGGGCTAGAAATTATCGGCACATTATCTTTAAAAGCAATATGGATTTTCTTCTAATAAAAGCCATTCACTTCAATTCTTTTAGCCATGGACACAATTTTCTTTCTTAGGGCCAGTTTTTCAAATGTCACAGACTACTAACAAAGCATACCTCATATTCAATTGTCTATGGTAAGGTAGTCTTCCAACTCTTCCAACCCCATGTTAATAATTCTGCTTTTTTTTTTTTTGAGACGGAGTATCACTCTGTCACCCAGGCTGGAGTGCAGTGGCTCAATCTCAGCTCACTGTAGCCTCTGCCTTCCGGGTTCAAGCGATTCTTGCACCTCAGCCTCCAGAGTAGCTGGGACTACAGGCGCTCACCACCACGTCCAGCTAATTTTTGTATTTTTAGTGGAGACGGGGTTTCGCCATGTTGGCCAGGCTGGTCTCGAACTCCTGACCTAAAGTGTTCTCCCTGCCTCAGCCTTCCAAAGTGTTGGGATTACAGGTGTTAGCCACTATGCTTGGCCTAATTCTGCTCTTAAATGCCATTTGATGATGGGTGATCCATCGTACTCCTAATCCAAGTCACTGAAGTATCTGGTGGCTACATGGACTACCAATACAGCAGGGTGGAGGAGATTCCCTCTGGCCCTGGGCATTTCTTTTCTGCAGATGAGCTGCAGTACTAGTCCTCAGGCCTTTGCATATGGCTAGAAACCAACCCTTGAAGTCTGGGGCTACAGTTCCCTCCTTAATGAAAAACACATTGTAATACCAGAAGTGGCGCCTGATGGCAAGCTTATTTGCCAACGTGGAGCCAGTGCCCTGCCGGGGTCTACTTTGTTTTGGAATTTCTAGCGTATTAAAGGCCCTAAAGAGAAACTGTGTTCCATATGTGGAGATAACCAGCCTTCCAGAAAAGCACAATGAAAAGGAAGGTGGGGCTGTGAGTAGTCAATGCTGAGAGAAAGGGAAAGACATTATTAGAATACATAAAGCAGTATGTATGAGGAATATTCCGGTATTTTCCAGTTTCTCCCATTCTTGGCTTGAAATCGGTTATGCATGTGAAAAACACCCAGGTGGCTTTTATTTTACACCCTTTCAAATTCATCTCTACAGTTGTTGCAAAGGGATCTTCCTAGAAAGGCAGATTCCCAGGAGTACTTCAATACTGAGTAAAATACTAATAATGAAATACTACCATTTACGGAGCACCTTGTTTGTGCTATACAGTGTGCTAAGTGATTTAGGTAGAATTCTTTTTTTTCTTTTTTTCTTTTGTTTTTTTAGACAGAGTCTCACTCTGTCACCCAGGCTGGAGTGCAGTGGCACACTCTTGGCTCACTGCAAACTCTGCCTCCCAGGTTGAAGTGATTCTCGTGCCTCCGCCTCCTGGGTAGCTGGGACTGCAGGCATGAGCCACCACACCCGGCTAATTTTGTACTTTTAGTAGAGATGGGGTTTCGCCATGTGGGCCAGGCTGGTCTTGAACTCCTGACCTCAAGTGATCAGCCTGCCTTGGCCTCCCAAAGTGCTGGGATTACAGGCATGAGCCACTATGTCCAGCCTTATGTAGGTTCTTTATCTCTAGAAGAAACTGATTTTGACCCCGTTTAACAGAAGACAAAACTGAGGCTCAGGACAACAAAGTTGCTTGCCAAGTCCATGCACGGGTAAATGGTGGAGTTGGAGTATGGACCTGTGTCAGTCTGACACTGAAGTCACCAAGGCTCATCTTGTGTACGCCATGATGCTAATCTAAAATTTCTAGCAAAGGGAAAAGAAAATAATTGTGGATGTATGGCTGTGTATTTTTCTGAGCGGCAGAGAAAACTGTTAGTTTACTAGACAATTAAGCAGTGAGTACTAAGATTCAAATGAATCGACTTGAATTTTCCAGCAGCATTAAGATTTCATAAAACAGCAAGAGGTTGGATGACAAAACAAAACAAATGGGCTACTCCCTGGTGTTGGCCCTTAGCAAAATCCTGGGAAGGGGGAAAGTGTAGACGTTGAGCATTTTTGAAAACTGAGATTCACAATAAGTTCCACATTTGTTCTGATCCTCCCTCCAGCCCCCACACTGGGCACTTTCTCAAGGCCTGAGAACTGGGTGTCTGCTTGTCCAGAACATTCTTGCTAAATAATTGGCTTAGAAAGTCGTGAAAGGCGTCAGTGGCTCTGAACCACGGGGAAACCCAAACAGTTTATGAAGAACAAGATCAGCCCGCCTTCTAGTGGATGGCTCCGACTCCGCAGAGCTATGTGTGGAAAGGCAAAGCCGGCCTTGAAGCTGAAACTTTCAACAAACAGGCAGAGACCTTAGGGAGGTTACAGTGTGCCAGTGTTTATGTTTCTGCATCTAACCCTTCCTTTTTGTTTTTTGTGAGACAGAGTTTCGCTCTTGCTGCCCAGACTGGAGTGCAGTGGTGCAATCTGGGCTTACTGCAATCTCTGCCTCCCGGGTTCAAACAAGTCTCTTGCCTCAGCCTCCCGTCTAGCTGGGACTACAGGCATGCACCACCATGCCCGGCTAATTTTTTGTATTTTTAGTAGAGACAGGGTTTCACCATGTTGACCAGGCTGGTCTCAAACTTCTGACCTTAGGTGATCCACCCGCCTCAGCCTCCCAAAGTGCTGGGATTATAGACGTGAGCCACCACGCTCAGCCATACCCCTCCTTTTTGATTAGCACTTTATCATAAACAGAGTCCAGAGAAAAAGGAGGAAGAGTAAAAATCCTCCTTCGCTAGAGAAAGCACAGTGTCTCAAGATTTAGAATCTAGCTGGCAACTGGGAATCTTTGGTGTTATTTCTGCGAGCAATGTGAATTCATTGGGTTGAACAAATGGCTAGCCCTTTTTGCATTTTCAGTTTTCCATTCCATTTATTCTTTATTGTGTCCTTGTATCTTTCTGGCCCCTAAAACTCGCTCACTCACTCCTTTTCTTTCTCTCTGTACTGTAAGCCACTTACAAAGTTGATTACATACGGCGACTAGGAACCCACCGCTCTTTCCCCACACCTTTCCCTTTGCTTGCCTTTTTTCTTTTTTTGAAAACCCTCCCCTCTCTAAGAGCCTATGTAAACCCTGCCTGTTCTTCAACTTCCTCCCTAGATCCTGCTCTCGGCACAGCTTGCTTCTTCCTCTGAAATCCAGTGGTATTTCTTGTCGGGATTTCTCACCTGGCCCCATACGCTACTGCAGTACATTGCTAGTTATCTCTTTCCTACTTAGGCGAGTGATTTACCTAGCTATTCTGAAAGGTGCAGCAAAGACTGTCTCCTATCCTTTTGTGTTTCTTTCTCGTTATCAGCACACCAACTGGCTTCTAACTCATTAAAGATTGCGTGATTGGAATGTAAAACAGTCGCGTGAACAACAGCCATGACCATTGTTTTTTTTTTTTTTTTTTTTGGAGACGGAGTCTCGCTCGTCGCCCAGGCTGGAGTGCAGTGGCGCGATCTCGGCTCACTGCAAGCTCCGCCTCCCGGGTTCACGCCATTCTCCTGCCTCAGCCTCCTGAGTAGCTGGGACCACAGGTGCCCGCCACCATGCCTGGCTAATTTTTTGTATTTTTAGTAGAGACGGGGTTTCACCGTGTTAGCCAGGATGGTCTTGATCTCTTGACCTTGTGATCCGCCCGCCTCGGCCTCCCAAACTGCTGGGATTACAGGCGTGAGCCACCGCACCCGACCAGTGTCTTTCTTTCTTTCTTTTTTTTTTTCCCCGCTCTTCTTGCCCAGGCTGGAGTGCAATGGCATGATCTCGGCTCACGGCAACCTCCGCCTCCCAGGTTTAAGCGATTCTCCTGCCTCAGCCTCCCGAGGAGCTGGGATTACAGGCATGCACCCCCACGCCTGGCTAATTTTATATTTTTAGTAGAGATAGGGTTTCTCCATGTTGGTCAGGCTGGTCTCGAATTCCTGACCTCAGGTGATCCACCTGCCTCGGCCTCCCAAAGTGCTGGGATTACAGGCACGAGCCACCGTGCCCAGGCTATTCTGCTTTTTACAATTATAACCAGTCTAGACAATTATAACCAATCTAGTTTCTTTGGATGGTTGAGATGTAGTCTTGATGGAAGAGAAGGGATTACATTGGACTAAGTTAACAATTTTCCCCAGCACTCTGAGTATTTTATTCTATGAAATGGCTTAAATATGGGAATTTTATTGGACAGCCTTGGCTGGGATTCTCAGCAATGGGCACTTGCAAGTATGAGAATCCCTTCTCAGTAAAAGTCCCCTCTCCCTGCAACAATGATCATCAGAGAATGTCTATCCATATTCAAAAGCTGTGAGTGGGCTAGGTGCGGAGGGTCACACCTTGTAATCTCAGCACTTTGGGAGGCCAAGGCAGGCAGATCATGAGGTCAGGAGTTTGAGACCAGCCTGACCAATATGGTGAAACCCTATCTCTACTAAAAATATAAAAATTAGCCAGGCGTGGTGGCGCGTGCCTTTGGCCCCAGCTACTTGGGAGGCTGAGAGAGAAGAATTGTTTGAACCCGGGAGGCAGAGGTTGCAGTGAGCTGAGATTGTGCCACTGCACTCCCCTCCGGGTGACAGAGCAAGACTGTTTCATAAAAAAAAAAAAAAAAAAAAAAAAAAAAGCTGTGAGTGATTTTTTTTTTTAGATTTGTAATCATCAGGTGACAGGTTCATTATTCTTCAAAGACCTTTTAGAGGAGGGTGTTTTAGACAATGGCCAGGTTGTGTCATGACAGCTGAGCTCGTTGTTTCATGGGTTTACCCGCTTCATGAGCTTGGGAGGCAAACCAGATATAACACAGTCGTGAAAATGAGGCCACTCCAAGCTCATGCATGTGCTCAGTTTCTACCCGGGAGCACTGTGAGAGCTGGCACTTGCTGCCCTTCTACTGCCATTCCTGGATCAGAGCCCTGCAACACGGGGTCAGCTGCAATTTGCCCCCCAGGGCTGAGTATCAACAGGCACTTCCCCTCGCTCTGAAAATGCTTGGGGGCATCCTCGTGCTCTCTATTTGGCCAAGAGAGAACACGAACCGCAGGTTATTTGGCCCAGACCAGTAGATGCCGTGGAAAAGGCACCGTGGCTGCCCCAGAACAGGCAAATCACAAAATGCTTGCCTTGGGAAGCATAAACAAAGCCTCATGGTGTAGGAGGGGCAGCCCCCGCCTTTGGATCCGGGATCAGAGGGAAGAGAGAATACAGGGCTGTTTAGATTTCTAGGAACCACTATCTCTGTGAACTTCACTCTGCTGTGAGCCCCAGGAAGTACCTGCTACCCAAGACACCAACAATTGCCTGCCTGGAATCTTTGGCGGCAGCTTGTTTCCTGACAAAATTGTTTGTCAAAAGCCTTCATTGAATTTCCCCTGGAAACTGAAAGGAAACTCACCACAGTTATGATAATAGTAACAATCGTACACTTATTTTGGAAACAGACGCTTTAATTTTTTGAGACGTTAAGGAATATTGTTCTCTATTCATCATTTCTCAGGTGACACAGAAAGCTCAGGCATCTCGAGATTTGCTTTGATTTTGTAGCCAGGGAGTAAATTGATAACTGTGACTGAACATTGATTGGACATGTACTATTTCTCAGGTTTGGTCTAAGTACTTTATATATATAGTCTCATTCATTCCTGAGGATAACACTATGTGGCAAATAAGGCTATTGCCATTTTATAGATGAGAGGATTTGGACTCCGAAGGGGAAGCGATTTGTCCTCAGACTTACCCTCTTGGAGTAAGGACTTATATATAATTCATGGACTTCAGGGCACATGCTCCTAACGCCATGCTAAGCTGACTGTCTGGGATGGGTTGACCGGCAGCCCACCTACCTGCACTTCCCAGTCTGTGTGGTAGTTGGGTGTGTGGTCATGTGACCAAGTTCTGGCCAATGAGAAGAAGAGGAGCCCCACTTCTTGGTCTGACCCATAAAAATCTCTCACCAGAGCTCTTCCATTCTCTGCCCTCCTTTTTTTTAAGTGAAGGGGACACTGAACCCAGAGGAGGGCAGGGCAGAGTCACAAGATGACATCGAATGATCCTATGGAAGGCTGTGTACCTACCAGAGCATGTTTAACTTTTTATGAGTTAGAAATAGATTTCTCTTGTGTTAAATCACTGAAATTTCCAAGTTATCCACTGCAGAAGCTAAAGTTACCTTAATTGATGACCCCTATAATAAAAATGGATTGAGCACAGTTAAAACATGACTGTAAGTGGACCCTTAGCCAGAATTTATCTCTCCTTCCAAACGGTATGCTCTCTCTCAATCTGTAGAGGATGTGGCCACAACTAGGAAATTCTCCGCCAACTTACAAAGATGAGAAAGACAACCCCATATCCTCTTTCCATTTTTCAAAGGGAGTTAACACGACATGAAAATAATCAGACTGCAGGACAATCATTCACTGGAAACCCATCTGGTGTGGTGATGAGCTCATACCCTTGAGAATGAAGAAAATTTCCATCTGAGGCTGGGCGGTGAGGCTTCCAAAATAGGCCAGCTGGTTTTCAAAAGGGCCAGTGGTGGGTATGACAGTGCTTAGTAGAGAGGGCCAGTGGCCAAGCTGTATAGGCAACATCATTGTAAATGATTTTAAACACACGATGCTTATTAAATAAGGCCACCTGATGGTTCAGAGCTCTTGTCCTCCCATCTGCCATAGCAACTTTGGTTTGATACCAAATGTGACTTCTGCCCATTCACCTCCCACCACCTCAGCCTAGTTAATTCCTACTTATCTTTAAGACCTCTGACCAAATAGTGCCTCCTCAAGTAGCTTTCTTCAACATCACAGAAAAGGCAAGGTCCCTCTTAGGTTACCAGGTGCCTTGTCCTCAAAGCATTGACCTCCAATTTTAATTTGACTTGAATTTGTCTAATCATTATATTAATGCTGCTGAGTAAATGATGTTAGATTTCCACCTTTATAAGAATATGGAATCATATTTTTTTTGTTTACCATTTCATCTCCAGGACTTAGCTCAATGTCTAGCACATAGAGGGTGTTCATTAATTATTTGTTAGATGAATGAACAAAGACATGAATGAATGAATGAATGAATTTACCATTCTACCTCCAGAACTTTGCTCAATGTCTGGTACATAGAGGGTGTTCATTAGTTATTTGTTAGATAAATGAACAAAAACACACGAATGAATGAATGAATGAATGAATGAATGAATGAATGAATCTTCATTTAATTAATGGAGAAGCGGAGGAATTTAGCCACTTGGCTTCCACAGCTGCTACTAGCCATCTTCTTCCAAATGACTTTATTGAAAGAGACTACTCCGAATACACCATTTCTTCTGTAGCTGATCATTGCCCCAGAACAAATGTCTAAAGTGTGGCTGTTGAGATCTCTCCCCAGAGGAGACCAGCCACTAACTTCTCTGAGCCTCGTTATGATACCATTATTTATAAAAATGAAGATGACAGTACTTGCCCCCCAGGGGTATTGAGAATCAAAAATAATAAAATGCATTTGGAAATATACTCTGAACATTTCAAAAAGATATGCATATATATGGTTTTTTTAGTGTCAAAACTTGTCTCTTACATGATGAAATTTTGAAAAGGCAAGCGTTTGTGAAGACTAGAACCTTTTGAGAATGGTAAGAAAATAGACTCTCTATTTAGTGAAATATGCATTTTTTCAAGGGAATAGCAGAGCAATTCGATTCCTGATCATCTCCACCAGCTCCACCACAAGAGACTCCCAAACAAATACAAATTAAGTAAAACCCTGGCTGTTCTCCTTCCAGTGGGATTACTATTCCTGAGCTCCATCTAAGTAGACCTTTAGAAGCCCTCAGTGTTCAAAGGTAGTTGGCTCTTGATCAAAAGCTCAAATTCTCAGTTGATTCCCACAGTGCTTTGGTGGTAGATTAGCATATGGCGGGAGAGACAGAACCCAAATTACTGGTGGCTGATGCAAAAACTGGCAGCTAATTGTAAACCTCCAAACAAAGTATTATTTACTCACTGAAACAAAGAAAAGTGCTTTCAAGGAGAATGAAAATATCCCTTATGTCATGTCAGATTCAAGAATATTTCATGAACAAAGTAAAAATTGAGCTGTTAGGTTGTTTGCAAATACTGTCCACATCAAGGAAGAACAATTTGAAAATGTAAGAAGTGAGAGTTTTGCTTTCCATCCTATTGCAAAAATATGTTTCCGTGTCAATTTAAGAAAGTACTGTTGCAAACGACAGGGTGAGTGAAATGGAAGCACACCAGTAGAAATGCAAACACATCTTCCTTTACTGACAGGCACCTACAGCCTTAATGAATGCCTGAAAAAAACTAAAACAAACAAATGTGCAGACTTGACAGAGAAATTTAATGAATTTACTAATTGTTCTTCCTTGGTGCAAGCCTCTTTTTTTTTTTTTTTTTTTTTCAACCACATATGTTGTAGATAATCAGAGAAAAGGCCAAGCCCACACCATATGTAGGCACTAAATAATATGCAGGGCATCGCTCTTTAAAACATACATTGCCATAACGAAATGATGAAAGGGGAACAGCAAAAATAGCAAATTGAGAATCAAAGCCCAACTTTCCACATGTGGAAACGTTTGGTTGGGTCATGGTAGAATCCATCAGTCCAAGACTGGTTGTATGAGCTGTTTGTGAAGATAAAAACGAATCATTGAAAACCCAATCTCATTTTAGAGGAATTGTCCTTTATTAGGAGAATGGATCATTGATGTCACTATAACTAATCATGTGGACAGCTGATAGAGATGCATTTTCAAAATGATTATTCTAGAAGTTCTGTTTCAAAAGCATATTTTCTATAAAGAAGAAAACACACAAAGCGTTCTACGTAATTACAAACCCTATTCTAGGTTGGTAGGTGTTCTTATATATTAGCTCACATGTTTTCTTATAGAGTGTGTGAGAAATTCAGTATCTATAGGTCATTGCAGGCCTGGCTCTGTGGTCTCCAGACAGCCAGTGTTAGAGCATTAGGTTAGGACTGCTTTGCAGGTTAGGAAAAGGACTCTCCTCAAATTCCTAACACATGGATGTTCATTCTAGCCACTGGTCCATATTTCCTTTCTAGAAGCAGCAGTGATGGGTGAACCACTGATCATTATAAAACCATGAAACATTCAAGGGCATTCATGCTTGGAGGAAGGTGGGATGTGCCCTGTGACCCTCAACACAGCCAACCCAGAACCAGAGAGGAGAGGACCAGGTGTGTTATCTTGTTGGTGCTTTGTCAACAGGCATTAGAAAAAAAAAAAAAACAGAAACAAAGTCCACAACTCTGATGACTCTGATGACGGACGCGGTTTCTACAAATAGACCAAAGAAAACCAAAACAAAAAACATCAAACAAACAAACAAACAAAAACCAAACCAAACACAATCCCCCTCCCCACTAACAAACGAACAACATCTAACTTAAAAAGAAAAATTTAAAACAGGTTTACATATGCCATACATATGTGTTTTACAACTTTGGGGCCAGAAGCAATTTATGGTAAGTCAGTAATTCAGATTGTTGGTCTTATTTATTTTATTTTTCCTATAGTTTTACTGCACAGCCAGGAGTGGCGTGGAGCTGGAGGCAGGGTGGGGGTGGGTGGGGAGGCAATAGAGAGGACAGAGGTCGATTTGTCATGAAACCAATGAAGCTTAAACTTCAGGGTTCCTCACTTCATGGGATCTTCCAAGTCTCTGGGATGATTCCTAGCAAGATATTCATGCATTCATTGCTTACAAAAGTGAGATATTTTAATTGTCATCAGTTACAACTAATGCCTCTTCTTTTGTTTTTTTTTTTTTTTTGAGACAGAGTTTCGCTCTGTCACCAGGCTGGAGTGCAATGGCGCGATCTCAGCTCACTGCAACCTCTGCCTCCCTGCAACCTCCACCTCCTGGGTTCAAGCGATTCTCCTGCCTCAGCCTCCTGGGTAGCTGGGCCTACAGGTGCCCATCACAGCCAGCTGATTTTTGTATTTTTAGTAGAGATGGGGTTTCACCATGTTGGCCAGGATGGTCTCGATCTCTTGACCTCATGACCTGCCCGCCTCTGCCTCCCAAAGTGCTGGGATTACAGGCGTGAGCCACTGCGCCTGGCCAACTAATGCCTCTTCCTATGTTGATTTCCCCTCTGTTAAATTTCCTCTTTTGCTCAGGTAACATTGGAATGACCACTGGGCATTTTTTTTTTTTTTTTGAATTCAGCTAAGGAGAAGAATGGTCAGGATATATTCAGTTTGGGAGAGAGGAATATATTTGAGGTCCACAGACATTGCCATCTGTAATCAAGTTACGGTGAGCTGCACCAGCCTAGAAATGGCTTCCAGCAAGAACCCTCACCCTTAAATGCCGACTCGCCCACCTTGTTCATGAAGGACTAGAGATCTTATCAAGATATGGCTGCATCTTATGGCACCAGGCTGTGAAGGTATGTGGCTAGCAGAAGAGAAAGAAGGTTTAAAATGCCAACAGCCAGAAACCCATCTGTGGAGGAATCTCCCAATCCTCAGACTGATAAGATAATAAGTAGAGAGTTCCATTCTCATACCTCCTGGACACAGGTGGCAGTGTTCCCACTGTCAGGAGTATATTTCATATATAGGACACACAATTACAAAAGCACCATATAATGTTTTCTTTATTGAAGGAACTAGAATATAATTGGATTTTCCTGCAATCCCTGTGTTTAGAAGGCACATATCTGTAATCTTACTCTCAACAGCATGTTCTGCAATAGATCATATAAAAAAGAAACCTGTAAGAAGTCTTCCCAAATTCTTCAATAATTCTAAAAATCTGCACAGTATTTCCAATGACAAGTTATGAATTGGAAATAAACCTTTCTTTCTTTCAGTAATGAAAGGACAAGTTTTGATCAGCCATACCATGCGAAAGACAGACTTAGCTTTCTCTTCTCTCTCTGTAGAAAATGTTATAAAATCATTATCTTGTGAAGAAGAGATCAAAGACCAGGCAACCAAAATAGGTAGGAAGAAGAGGATAATAGGGATGTTGGCAGGTTAATTAATAAACACACATTCCTTTTCTGAATTTTGTGATGTTTCTAATAGTTGTTGGCTTTCCTACATTTGTAACTTGTGATTTTTCCTTTCACATGTAAGTTTGTATAACTTTTTTTTTTGAGACAGAGTTTCACTCTTGTTGCCCAGATTGGAGTGCAGTGGTGCCATCTTGGCTCACTGCGACCTCTCGAACTCCCGACCTCCCGGGTTCAAGCGATTCTCCTGCCTCAGCCTCCTCAGTAGCTGGGATTACAGGTGCCCGCCATCGTACCTGGCTAATTTTTTTTGTATTTTTAGTAGAGACAGGGTTTCACCATGTTGGCCAAGCTGGTCTCGAACTCCTGACCTCAGGTGATCTGCCTGTCTTGGCCTCCCAAAGTGTAAGTTTGTATAATTTTTAATGATTTTCCTTTTAAGTCTCCCCCACCCCCAATTATATTAAGTTGGTGCAAAAGCAATGGCGGTTTTTGCTGTAATTAAAAGTAATGGCAAACCCGCAATTACTTTTGCACTAACCTAATAGAAGCCGCAGGCCCTGCCATTAACCCTGGTTTGGGAGGGTAACGTGATAAAGAAGTCATATGTAAAAGGCACTTGGAAAAACAAAAGTCCCCGTTGAGAAGAGACTGGAGATGTGCAGGGGGCTGCCACTCACACACAGCCATGGTTCTGGGAGTGAGATGGAAACCCGGGTGGGACAGAAGTTTCCCTCCAGGGCTGGGGCCGAGTGCTGTTTAGAGAAGGGGACTGCTGTGCTGAGTGGCACATCACAGCCACATCCTGCCTCTGGGTGTGACCTGGAGTGATCACATTCTTTCTCGTGATAATAAAAACAGAAGTCATTATATGAAAAATACACTTGCACACGCATGTTTATAGCAGCACAATTTGCAATTGCAAAAATGCGGAACCAACCCAAATGCCCATCAATCAATGAGTGGATAAAGAGATTGTGGTATATACATAGGATGGAATATTGCTTAGCCATAAAAAGGAATGAATTAATGGCATTCTCAGCGATCTGGATGAGATTGGAGACTATTATTCTAAGTGAAGTAACTCTGGAATGGAAAACCAAACACTGTATATTCTCACTCACAAGTGGGAGCTAAGCTATGAGGATGCACAGGCGTAAGAATGACACAACGGGCCGGGCGCGGTGGCTCACGCCTGTAATCCCAGCACTTCGGAGGCCGAGGCGGGCAGATCACGAGGTCAGGAAATTGAGACCATCCTGGCTAACACGGTGAAACCCTGTCTCTACTAAAAATACAAAAAAATTAGCCAGGCTTGGTGGCGGGCGCCTGTAGTCCCAGCTGCTGGGGAGGCTGAGGCAGGGGAATGGCGTGAACCCGGGAGGCGGAGCTTGCGGTGAGCTGAGATCGCGCCACTGCACTCCAGCCTGGGCGACAGAGCGAGACTCCGTCTCAAAGAAAAAAAAAAAGAATGACACAATGGACTTTGGGGACTCGGGGAAAGGGTGGGAAGTAGGTGAAGGATAAAAGACTACAAATTGGGTGCAGTGTATACTGCTTGGGTGATAGGTGCAACAAAATCTCACAAACCACCGGTGCAGAACTTACTCATGTAACTAACACCACCTGTTCCCCAATAACCTATGGAAATAAGAAATTTTAAAAAAACAAAAACAAAAACAAAAAGCAGCTAACATGGATTGGTTGCCTCGGATGTGCCAAGCCATGGGCTTAATTTGAATGATCTGAGTCAGTCCTCATGGTCGTCTTGTCAAGTCATTGCCACACCCTCATTTGTCAGGTGCCACATACAACTTTTTGTCCTCTGTCATTAGTTCCTGCTAATATCAGAAATCACGTGTTAAGAATACAGATTGTGTAGGCTGAGCGCAGTGGTTCACAGCTATAATGCCAGCACTCTGGGAGGATGGGGCAGGCAGATGGCGTGAGCCCAGGAGTTTGAGACCAGTCTGGACGACATGGCGAAACCCCATCTCTACAAAAAATACAAAAATTAGCTGGGCGTGGTGGCGCATGCCTGTGGTCCCAACTACTTGGGAGGCTGAGGTGGAGGATCCCCAGAGCCCAGGAGGTCGGGGCTGCAGTGAGCCATGATTACACCACTGCACTTCAGCGGGGGCGCTTAAGACATTTTATACATATTTAAAGTGGCTCCCCAGTGATCCTGATGCTGCCTTTTGCTATGTGCAGAATGAGGCCCCTTCAGTTCAGTGGCTCCGGGTGGACTGCACATTAGTATCAAAAACCTTTAGACCATCCCAACACCTAAGCCCCGGATCAACTAAATCAGAACCGCTGGGAGTCAGGACTGAGTATGGGTGTGTTTAAAAAGTTCCCTAGGTGAACTCATCCAGAGCCATCAGCCATCGCCTTAGCCAATGAAGACACCGCAAACTACAAAAAAGTACTGCTTAAAATCGCTAATAAATAAATACACTCAAGATGAGTCTTTCCCAAGATCAAAGACAGCTAAAATACAATATTTCAACAAAAACAACATTTCACATTTGTATCTTTCTTAGTCTTTGTGACACACTTTCACATCCATCGCTTATTTTATTTTTTTGAGACGTAGTCTCACTCTTCTCACCCAGGCTGGAGCGCAATGGTGCGATCTCAGCTCACTGCAACCTCCACCTCCTGGGTTCAAGCGATTCTCCCGCCTCAGCCTCCCGAGTACCTGGGATTACAAGCATGTGCCACCATGCCCGGCTAATTTTTTGTATTTTTAGTAGAGATGGGGTTTCTCCATGTTGGTCAGGCTGGTCTTGAACTCATGACCTCAGGTGATCCACCCACCTTGGCCTCCCAAAGTGCTAGGATTACAGGCGTGAGCCACTGCACCTGGCTCCATCACTTATTTAATCCCTACAATGCATGAAGCTATCATTCCCATTCTGTAATGGAGAAAGCAAAGGCTAGGAGTGACTAACAGATTTTTTTTTTGAGGGGGGAGTGAAGTTTTTCTTGAGCAAAGGTAGCTGCTCTCTGCACTTTTCTCAAATCCTCTATTTGTTGAAATGCAGTTCTTGCGTTCTTGGCTCTTTCCTGTGAGACTATGAAGAATGGAAAATGGCCCATGTATTATTACAGATATGTCTTTAAAACGGCCCTGGTTGGCAGTAGAAAGGAGGGCTGGGGAAGGTAAATGCTGACCATGGGTTGGTAATCTTGGACCTCCTGCAGACCACCCCAGCCTGGTCTTGCTCTGGGCCGCCTCTTCTTCTCCCAGGCCCCTCGGCCTGGCTCTGCAGGCTGCTAACCAGTCCTTGTTCACTGAGCCTCCCAGGTTGGTGAATTGGTTTAGACTTGCCATCCTGGCTGCCTTCCAGACCCACCCATGGGGATTACCTCCCAGCTGCCTGGGTTGGACATATCTGCCCCCAAGGGCCTGGCTTGGCCAGAGACCACAGACAAGCACGAGGCGTGGTTAGCCTTTGAGCCCCAAACGCCTATGATGGGGCCAGGCACCTATCTGCTGCTGAGGACCTGTCTGCAGAGTTGAACTGAGTCATGCTTGAGCAGGAATGTATTCTTTTTCCAGGCCCGGTGGCCAATCATTCAGCACTCTCTACAGTATACTTACGACATTAATGGAAATCCTAAAAAATGGCCCCTGAGGCGGGGCTAGCCCACCCTGCTTAGTTGATTTAAAAGACAAAGAGTGCCAGATGTGGTGGCCGACACCTGTTATCCCAGCGCTTTGGGAGGCCGAGGCAGGAGGATCACTTGAGGACAGGAGTTCAAGACTAGCCTGGCCAACGTAGTGAGACCCCCATCTCTACAAAAAAATTCTAAAAAATAGCTGAGCATGGTGACATGGTCCCAGCTATTTGGGAGGCTGAGGTGGGAGGATCATCTGAGCCCAGGGAGGTTGAGGCTGCAATGAGTCGTGATTGCACCACTGCACTGCAGCCTGGGTGACAGAGCAATAACCTGTTCCCTCCCCCACCAAAAAAAGAAAGAGATGAAATGAAAGTGAGAGGTGGAGGCCAGAAGCCAGGGCTTCAAAACTCATTTGTAATCACTGGAAAGACAGAATCATCTTGACTAAGTAATTACCCCCACATACCCAGCTTGGGGACTTTTGACTCTAAATCACGGTTTCAGAAAAGCTTCAAATGGACAAACCAGCCACATTACTGCTTGAATCTCCCAGCTGGGGGATTTTTTTTCCCCCAGGATTCTTTCAGATTCACAGCTTGTCATGGGAAATCTTATGTGAACTTTTCGGATGCTGGTCAAATTTGGAAGGATTTCTCTAAAAGTTTCTTTTATATATGATCTATGACAGACACACTTGATATTTAGAGTGAAGCTTTTAGGTACGTGCCCTTCAAGCACGAGAATTCTAGAAAAGTCTTCAGAAGCCATGTAAAGGGTCTACCCCCCGCCTGCCCAGGGGCAGGTGAAGAAGCAGGAGCAGGGGTCCTGCGGGGCTGTGCCCATCTGTGAAATCAACCCGACACCCTTGGGCACATCTTCCAGGGCGCCTCCCTCCCCTGAAAGTCCAGACATTCCAGGAGGAGGGGTGGAGCGAGGGGACGGGTGGTTTAGCCAGTGCGTTTTATTAAGGAATTATAGACCACCAAATTACACCTAAAAATACAAAGGCCAGCTGTGCATGCTGGGTTACAAGTATTGTCATGAGCCAGCTTACAGAGGGAGGGCCAAAACCACTCAAGTCGACTTAATGAAATAAACTGGGTTACAAACACCCGTGAGAGGAGGAAAAATGAGCGACACCCCCCTTCAAGAGCCAGGCCAAGGGACATTCTTTCACTTGCTATGCTGCCTGCGCCCCCCACTCCCCACGCAATCTGGGTCCTCTCAGGCGGGGCTGGGGCTGTCAGGACTGAAGTCTCCGCGGCCAGCAGGGACGTGGCTTAATGCCACCAAACTGGACTGATAGCTGGAGAAAGCACTCTTGTCTCCCCTTTTTGAAGTGCTCTGCACCCACCGCCAGTTAACTGACTCAGAAGTGCCACTCTCCCTCAGGAAAGTTTCTCTCCTTTTCTCATATTTGGGTTGAGAGGTGTGTGTCTGAATTCAGAGGCCACTATGTAAAGGAAAGGAGGCTCAGTGTTGGTGCCTGAGGATCTTCCCGCCTTGCCTCCTGTCCCACACACCACATTCCCCTTACCAGCTTGTCACCACCCCCAACACACAGGTGCACACACATAGGTACACTCACACACACACACGTGCACACATGCACACACGCACGCACGCGCTCACACACATGCATGCATACTCACAGGCACACACATGCATGCACACGCACGCACACATGCACACACCGCATGCACGCACGGTTTGATAAATCATCCATTGTGAGAGGAGCGTGGATTTGTGGAAAGAACATCCTTTGTCTTTGCAGCCAGGAGAACTTTGGTTGAAATCACCAGGCTCTGTCTGGGTGACTTTGAACAACTTACATCCTTCTCTGAGTTTCAATAACCTCATCTCAAAATGGTGACAATAATAATCAAGATGGTGACATAGGCACTTCCTCGATCCGGTGGCTTTGAAAGCTGAATTAAATCATGTTTACGGTGCACTTCACGTGGCGCACCGTATGGCACGCATGGCACCTAGAAGATGAGGCTCTGTTCATGTTAACTGCTCCCTGTTAAATGTAACATGCTTCAGAGTCCCGAACACATGTGACAATAGCTCATGCCCCCTTCTCCACCATTCACCACCACTTTCCCATGCTTCAAAGAAACGAAAGAGGAGCTTCTGGTCCCACCTGATAGACGGCCCTGGAGATGCACCATGGTTTTAGCAGCAGCTGCAGAACTCGAATGTTCCTCACTTGGCAGGTCCTCAGCGCCCGACAAGTCAGGTTCCAACTCCACGGTGGGTCCTCAGAGCCAAGCAGCCCAGCAGCCATGCCAGCCCCAGACTCTGCCGCCAACCCTCTGGTCCCTGGCCCCACATCCAGGGCTGTGTTCTTTTAGTGACACAAAGTGCCAATGTCAGTAAGATTTAATCAGGCAAGGAAAAAATGCAGTCCAAATAACTCTGATTCCTCTGACTCTCCTCCCCCTACCTACCCTCACCACCACCCTCACTAATCCTCAGAGACTGCTTTCCTTCAAGGATAAGCAAAAGGCTCTTAACTCCCTCCCAAAGTGTTTTCTCCTTGTCTCTGGGGACTCACCAGGGACAAGGTAAAAATAAACCTCAGTGTGCAGATAACGGCACATCCCTGTTTCTCAGTGGACTGAGGCTGGCTCTTTGGCAGATCAAACAGAACTTAGGGAAGACCTCAGACCCAGAAGCACCACCGAGTGTTGGGATCCCCTCCAGGGTGAGAAAGCTAAGAGCAGAGAGCTGCAGCCTTCCCTGCAACATTCCCCAGACATTCCATCCCTTTTCTTAACTCTTTACAACTTGGAGAACCCATGAGTTTCCACAAGGTCAAGCAAAAAGTCCCATTCTGTAGCAGCACTGGAGAAATTGCTATTTCTGTGGGCAATTTGTAAGAAGCCAGGCATTTTCTTTGGAAGCGTCCCAAGTTTAGGTTGGGATTGAAATGGCTGGAAAGAATACTTATCTGATGGATTTCATATCAACATCCAAGATTTGGAGGAAAGCAGGGAAAAGGAGGTAAAGTCAACCTATCCCGTTTTTTTTTTCGCCCCGCATGAGGGGTTACTTCCTATAAACCGTCTTGCTATTTTAATGCATGTTGGGTAAGCTACAGGTAGAAATTAACTCAAGGAAAGTCCTTCAATTAAACGTGTCATAACCATTGGAATTTCATAAGTTGTTTTGATTGTTGATTATTTTAGAATGGCATCTGCATCCTAATTCAATAAATTACATACCAAAAGGTGAGATTCCAAAGCTGGAAGGGAAAGAAGGGGGAGGGGAGAATGCAGCCACGACCTAGCTGTACAATTAAGACAAAGAGCATGTTTAATCTTTAATGTCATTTTGATTGCACAGTCCTGAAAAATCATGGTAAGTCATAAGGCATGTTTGCCTTCTCCACATTCCATTTGTTTATTTATTATCTGTCTCTTCGACCTTAACTAATACCATCAGAAAAGTAGAAATGTAAAATCTACTAATCTACTGGAGCGTCCTGGAGTCCTTTGTAACCTCAGTTTGAATTTGGCTCTGTCATTTTCTGTGTGGCCTCAGACAAATTAATTAACTCCTCTGACTTATTTCTTGATCTGACCGATGGAAATAATACCTACCTCACTAGGTTGTGAGGATTAAATGAGGTCACTTACTTAAAGTGGATAATAAAGACCATGGCATGAGGCTGATATTTTTTCCCCCACTTATGATCTGGTAATTCAAGGACATTATCTACCACTGATAATATGAAACCCTTAGGATAAAAATTTGTGGTTCTCTAAATTATGTTCTTTTAATACGTTTTCTCCTTTTGCTTTGAATTTATGCATTAATTTGTTTAATTAATATAATGCAGCCTTTATTTATTTTTGGGGGAGTTTCTCTATGTTGCCCAGGCTGATCTCAAGCTCCTGGCCTCCTGTGATCATCCTGCCTCAGCCTCCCAAAATGCTGGGATTACAGGCATGAGCTACCTCACCTGGCCCATTTTAATGTAAACTCTTTTTTGGATAGTTTTATCATTTTTCCATGAATAATCACCCTAAGGCAAAACACGGTGCATAATTTTATTCCTGTGTACTATTCCCTTATTTTTGCACCCCAGTAATGAAAAGCAGGTGGGTACTACAGAATCTTGCCTTTCTACAAAAACCCCATCACCAGAAAGTTTTATCTAAGAGGGAAGAGAAGTGAGGGGAGGGGAAGGAAGGTAGGACGATAGGAAGATAAGAAGAAAGGAAGGAAGGGAAGAAGGAAGGAGGAAGGCAGGGAGGGAGGGTGAAAGGGAGGGAGGGTGAAGAGTAAATTAAATTAAAAAGCATACAGTACGCAGAAAATGATGCTTACATTAACATTAGCTAACTGCATTGGTATTTTCATGAAAAAACACATGCAAGATATATTATAGTTAGTTTCAGTGTGTGTGCTCTGAACTAATGCTCTCCAACCTCTGGAGATCTTGGCTGTGAACCAGACTCTTATCCAAAGCATGTAATTATGGACTGGATAGGGACAGTTCTTTTTTTTTTTTTTTTTTTTCTTTCTGGGACAGAGTCTTGCTCAGTCGCCCAGGCTGGAGTGCAGTGGTGCGATTTCGGCTCACTGAAAGCTCCACCTCTGGATAGGGACAGTTCTAAAGGCATTGTTTTATTCTACGACGAAGTAAAGTGACTTTAAAAATTAAAAAAGTGAAATGTATATATTTAGCTTATGGTCTGGGAATCTTTTGAGTATAAAGGTGCTATAATAAGCTCTTTTGAAAAATGACTGAATATAAACAAGAATTCCCGAGAACAGCAAGACCTACTCAAGCTGCCCTGATATCTTTACCATTTGCGGGGATGAGTGGCGTGCTTTAGTGGGGCTTGCTCTGGAGTCTGGAATCGGAGCCTGGTGACACCAGCAGCAGACGCCTGTCTCTGTGCCCATGGAAGCTCGGGGTGACAGTGCCGTTGGAGGATGCTGCCTGATTTCACTGGTCCTGTATCTTCAATCATCTACATGATTCTGCCCTAGCCTTGACTGATTGATTGATTGATTGATGGAGGCGGAGTCTCGCTCTGTCGCCCAGGGTGGAATGCAATGATGCAATCTCAGCTCGCTGCAACCTCCGCCTCTTGGGTTCAAGTGATTCTCCTGCCTCAGCCTCCCGAGTACCTGGGATTACAGGCACCCGCCACCATGCCTGGCTAATTTTTGTATTTTTAGTAGAGATGGGGTTTCACCACGTTGGCCAGGCTAGTCTTGAACTCTTGACCTCAGGTGATCCACCCGCCTCGCTCTCCCAAAGTGCTGGGATTACAGGTGTGAGCCACTGCACCTGGCTCTGCCCTAGCCTTTAAATCGCTAATTCAGAGTTTCACAAGGCAGCTCCCCACGTGGCCTCTGAGAGGCTGTGCGTGCAAGTGGCATGACTGCCATTGAGAACAATGCCCTTGCTTTTCAAAGGGATTTAGAAACCTCAGAGCAATTCACTATAGGTGTGTGTGTGTGTGTCTGTGTGAGTGCATGTGTGTGTCTGTGCGTGTCTGAGTATGCATGTGCGTGTCTCTGAGTCTGTGTGTGTATGTGTGTCCATGTGTGCCTGTGGGTATGTGTGTGTGTGCCTGGCTCTGTGAGTCTCTATGTATGTACCTGTGTGTGTGTGTCTACTGTGTGTCTGTGAGTCTGTCTTTGTGAGTCTCTGTGTCTGTGTGTATGTCTATCATATGTTAATGTGTGTGTGTATGTGTGTGTGTGCCTATCTCTGAGCCTCTATGTATGTGTCTGTGTCTGTGTATATGTCTATCATATGTTAATGTGTGTGTGTATGTGTGTGTGTGCCTATCTCTGAGCCTCTATGTATGTGTCTGTGTCTGTGTGTATGTGTGTGTCTACTGCATATGTCTTTGTCTCTGTGTGTGTGTCTGTGCATATGTGTCTGTGCGTATGTGTGTCTCATGTCTATTCGTGTGTCTGTTTGTCTATTATGTGTCTGTGTGTCATTGTGTGTCTGTGTATGCATCTATGTATGTGTGTACTGTGTCTGTGTGTTTGTGTGGGTCATTGTGTATCTATGTGTGTGTCTGTGTCTGTCTCTGTGAA
Source organism: Homo sapiens (assembly GCF_000001405.40). Classification (NCBI taxonomy): domain Eukaryota; kingdom Metazoa; phylum Chordata; class Mammalia; order Primates; family Hominidae; genus Homo; species Homo sapiens. The sequence goes on from NC_000010.11 coordinate 13,975,585, forward strand.
TCTCTGTGTGTGTCTGTCTCGTGTGTGTCTATGTGTGTGTCTATCCATGTGTGTGTGAATCTCTATGTGTGTTTGTGTCTGTGTGTTTTATGGGGGTCATTATCTCTGTGTGTGTCTGTGTGTCTCTGTGAATCTCTCTGAATCTCTATATATGTGTCTGTCTCTTGTGTTTCTATGTGTGTGTGTACACACCTTCATCTTACAGAGGAGGTCCCAGCACAGATGGTGCAAGCAGCCAGCCAGACCTCCTGCACACTGTGACGAAGCTGGAGCAAGACACCAGGGCTCACCAGGTGAACATGTGACCTGGACCGGTCTAACTCCCAACCTCTCTTCATCACTTTCCTTATTCTTTTCTCAAGAATTATAGAAAATAAGCATCTTCTAGGTAGTTTACCACTTAGACAGTTGATCGCAAAACCTAAAGGGTAATGGACGAGGACAGAGTGACCTCTTGGTGTCTAAAGGGTAGGGAATACCATGTTAGACACCAGGAAGACAGAGTAAGGAGCAGTCACTGTCTCACTCCTCCTTCCATGAGACTTTTGCTACTATTAGGGGTGAAAAGAGTCAAGCATTGAGTTAGCTGGCCAGATGGGGTGAGTTGCTGAGTGTTTGTCTATTGTAAGTCCTGGGGAAACATCCCAAGGAGAAGCTGAGGTCTTGGTCCTGGGATTGCACATTGGGGAAGGGAACTTGGGCTGGGAGCCCTAACTCAGTGGCTGACCTGGGAGGGAGGCAGGTGTTGCTGATGCCAGGAGTTCCCCTGCCCAAAGACAGGACAGAAGAGGAGGTGGGACCTTGGCATGGCAGGGAAGACTGCCAGGTACGGACTCCCAGCCCCATCCCCTGCAGCTCCCACCTCCGTCCCACTGGTTAATCATCTTCCCTATCTCGGAGTTTCTGTGTTTTCTATCCCGGCTCCCAGACCCTCGTTCACTGCTTCTGTAAAGACAGAGGAATTTTTTTTTTTTTAAGCAACAAATGCCTTTGCCTGGCTCTGGGAATGTTTTAAGACATAATTACTGCCTTGAAAAGGAATAGGAAAAACTCAGTTGCAAGTAATGTGTAGTGCTATTATGAACAAAATTTGCAAATACATAAATACACAGAAAACAGCATACACGTGGAGAAGTATATTTATAGCAACTAAAGAAATATGTTCAGAAGTGCAATCTAATGTAACCCATCTTAATCATTCAGGGATTATTTATTGCTATCTGTTTGTAAAAACGTCAGCCATAAGATTGGCTGAAGAACTATTCTATCTCAGGTCAAAGTCAGCTACTAGTGCAAATAGCATTTTTAAAAAGACTTTCTTGGATGCATTTTGTTATCTTTTACTGATCTGATCTCAAGGTAAAGGACAATTTCTCCAAGAGCAAAGCCCAGTACAGTTGAGGCCTAATATCAAGAAACTTCAAGGAATTAACGCCTTAGCCTAAGTCACATCTGTTCTCTTGGAAGAACAAAAGAAGATCAATAGCCGATTTATTCCAAAGTGAGAAGGTGATAGGAAAATAAATAAATCCACAAGAGTGAGAGGGAAAGGCAGATATGCACTCAGAAATGCCCATCGGTCGTATTTTCTGGTTTTGTAGAAAGCAGATTTCTTTTGTGCTTTGTGAGCAGTGAGCAGGCGTCCTCTACTTCTGTGTCACGTAAGGACTTTTCCAGGTCTTAACTACTAATCGGTGTTTTAATGCCACATTCCTTTCCTGCCTTCCAACACAAGACTCAAACTGAGGTTTAAATTTACTGCAAATTTCTTTCTTTCCATCCACTGAATGCCGTTAAGCAATCTCCATGTGTAATCAAAATGCTGGGTAGCAGTAGTGTTGGAAGCTTTGTTCTTTAAATGAAGGTGGCCTATCACTCTTTGTCAGTGCTCTTAAAAACGTAAAAATACCTTATTGAGATATAATTGATATACCGTATACTTCAGTCATTTAAAATGTACAATTCAGTGGTTTCTTAGTTTAATCATAGGATTCTACAACCATTGCCACAATCTAATTTTAGAACATTTTCATCCCCCAAAAGAAAACCACACCCATTAGCTGTCATTGTCATTCCCCATTTCTCTTCATTCCCCCTAGCTACTGGCAGCCTTTAGTCTCCTTTCTGTCTCCATAGATTTGCCACTTTTGGACATTTTATATTAATGGGGTCTTTGTGGCTGACTTCTTTCACTTAGCGTAATGTTTTCAAGATTCATCCATATTGTAGCATGTGCCAGTACATTTCTTTTCTTTGCTGAATAATATTTGATTATGTGGAAAGACCATGTTGTGTTTATCCATGCATCAGTTGATGGACATGTGGGTTGTTCCCACTCTCTGGCTACTATCAATGATGCTGCTATAAACACTTGTGTAAGCATTTTTGTGAGGTGTATGTTTTTCTTGTCTCTTGGGCACATACCTCGGAGTGGAATTGCTGGGTCAGATGGTCATTCTTTGTTGAACCATTTGAGGAACTGCCAGACAGTTTTCCAAAGCAGCTGTACCATTTTACATTTCCACTAGCAGTGTGTGAAGGTTCCAATTTCTCTACCTCCTTGCCAATCTTGTTTCTGATTACAGCCATCCTAGTGTTAAGTGGTGGTGTTCTTGGTTTTCTAGCTGGATTCTATGACGTGGCCTTTGGGTAGGATAGGGTGGAGGCAGCAACAGAAAGGGCTGCTTTTAGGGGGCTGGTGTGCTGTCCCCCATGCTTTAGCCCCCAGCAGGCTGCAGCAGATGGAATCTGGGGAAAAGAGGCTGGAGTACAGAAGAGCCCAGAATGTCCTCTTCCTCTCTCAACAGCCCCTCCATACCTCCTTCTTCTGCTCCTGACTCTCTCACACCCACCATGGGGCAAAAGTCCAAATATTTTTGGAAGTTACCATTTGCCATTTTCTAATCCGGGTTCCACTTCCTTGGAAAAAAAAATGCTATTTAGAAATAGCACTGGTACGGCTAACTGAGTGGGTGATATGCAAAACCCAAACCCAAACAGTCTTTTGAAATCCCAAGGCATTTCAGGATTGCTAACTCACACATTTAATCCCATATTTGGGTCTGGAAAACGTCCCAGCTCCAACCAAGAGTCATCATGGCATCATCGTTTCTCAACCTGAGAACCCAAAAAACTCATTTATATAAATGCTAGGAAACTCACTGTGTTCATCTTGGGGACTGGAGAATAACCTTTTAAAAATGCTTTGCTGTGTATATAAAAATATTTTGGGTCCCTGGGAAAGTACAGGAGAGGCAGGAGCTGCCCTCTGACTTAAGCACTCCCAAGCAGCAAGCCAAGAGCTATGCTTAGAAATATTCCCCTCAAGCTCCACCCATGATTATACAAGTGATCCTATGGCCATAAAAGTGATGTCATCTATCAATTACCCCTTAGGAAAGTAAGCTGCCATATGCACACCAGGCCCCAGTAGAAATAAAACCAGAGCCGCCTGAATTAAATCAGTCCAGGCCATGAGTTGGAAATTAAATGCCCTCAGACCCTCTTTTCTTAATCTCCTGTTATTTGGTTTCCACGAAATTCATCCTTTCCCAAGGATGATTTTTGAGTACGTACTTCGCAAGCATGCATATGTGTAATCAAAGCCTTATGTGAAAAAAAATACATATTTGTTTTGTTTAGGGGTTACATGCAGGTCTGGGGCCTGGTGGGAGTGAAGTTGTAAAGTGGGGGTCCTGCTCATAAGAAAAGGAGGTCTGCTTGCTTGAGAAAGGGGTCCCCAGAGAGAAGGGCAGGTGGGCCTAGAGTCACTTCCTTTTCGCAGAGGACGATTAAGCTGACTTTATGCTCATAGGAGAGTTGTTTGGGAGATAATTAACACTTCCTTTCCAAAGAGGAATTAAGAGGTTAGAAAATGTGTGTCTAGAAGCTGGGAAGAGGTTGGAGGATTGCTCAGTGAGGAGCAGCAAGTCAGTGTCTCTTTCAGATATGAAGGAGGTGAAGTAGAATTTATAAGAGGTAAAAAGAGCTAAGAACACTTTGTTTTAACCTATAACTTAAATTCCTTTGAACTCTTGACTCGTTGGGGGTATTACATTGTTTATAGTAGGTATTAGAGGGGTTTTCAGTTTTCAATGCTCTATTCATTTCTCATAGTCTCTTTGCTCTCTAAAACTCATCTTCCTAAAGTAGCAGTCTTTCTTTTTAAAAAATCTCTAGCGTCTTGAGTGTAATGGGAATGTAATGACTACTGAATGAATGAAACTATGTATGTTCTGTTAAAACACAGGCTATGGCTTCTCTTGCTGCTTTTAGGTGGCCATGCCTACATAAAATCCACCCTGGTGCAGCTGAAACTCTCTAACAGGCAGGGCCATTGTACTTCTCATGTTGGCTTCTCAAGAGCGGGTCTATGAGCACCCCATTCCCTTTCTTATTTGGAAAGAAAACAACACTCACCACGGCATTCACAATGCTGGGGACCTGATGAATGGGAATGGAGAGGCTGCACTAATGTAAGTGGGGTCAACATCCCTGCTGGAGGGCAGATGCAATTTTGGCAAACTAATGACTTTTGGAAGCCATTTTCTAGACTGCATTTTTCTCTTCTTTCTTAGAATGCTTTTCTCAAGGGGAAAAAGAAAGCAGAGGTGTAAATGGTATCTGGCCGTTCGAAGAGCCCGTCTGGGAGACTCTCTGCTGACCACAGCACTGTCTCTCCCCAGGGCCCAGTCCCACAGTGTCACTGAGTCCAGAGTCGGGACTCCAACAAGCCCTCCGCATTCCAGCATGACTGTGGTAAAAACAAAAAAAATCTATTTTATTCTAGTCCATCACATTTTCTATATTTGCTAAAGAAATCTCGATCACTCCATAAATGGTCGGTTAAAATTAAAAATATAGGCTGGGTACAGCAGCTTATGCCCTGTAATCCCAATGCTTTGGGACACTGAGGCTGGAAGATCACTTGAGGCCAGGAGTTCGAGACCAGCCTGGGCAACATAGAAAGACCCCATCTCTACAAAAATAAAAAATAATTAGCTGGGGGAGCCTAAGTCCCAGCTACTTGGGAAGCTGAGGCTGGAGGATTGCTTGACCCTGGGAGTGAGAGGCTACAGTGAGCTATGATTGCACCACTGCACTCCAGCTTGGGCAACAGAGTGAGACCCTGTCCGTAAAAATCAAATCAAATCAAATATTTTAAAAATTAAATTAAAAAAATTGTTCGTTATTTTAACAAAGTCTTCTCATGAAACCACACCCAGACCAACGATAGTAGAAAAATCCAACACAAATAAAACAAAACAAAAAGCTGCCATGAATGATCTGTCTTGAGTTGGTCCATGGAGATTGGATTAGTCAATGAATCAGACTTTTATATTCAAACTCCAAGTGAGTAAGAAAAAAATAAATCCTTTGATATATGCAAAATCAGGCCTGTTTTAGGATAATCTCATTAATTTAGTGAGTTGCCTAGACTACTGCTGAAGAATTTAGGCTGGCCTTTCTCATGAAGATCTCTTGTAGATAAAAATATATGCATTTGGAGCTCTGCTTCTTGGAATAATTTAAATGAGCCTACCTGTAGGTAGTGTGGTGTGTTCTTGATCTGTATTTGACTGAGGATGGTAGATATGGGTTATGATTTGGTAACGAAGCTTGGAAAACCAAGAACTATCATGGGTTGGAGGTCCAGGGAAGTTGTGGAAGTCAGCACAGTGGCACAGGCAACCAGCCATCCAGAATTTAAAGGTCAAGGTGAATCAATGGGTTTAAAGCAGTCAACCAAAGCATCTGTGAATAATGAATCGAGAGTTTAGGTCGACCAGGAGGCCAGAAACTAGGTATGCTGAGAGCAAACAGACTGAAAGGTGTATGAAAGGACAAGCTATGGTGGATAGAATACTTAAGGGAGGCCAGGCACGGTGGCTTACACCTGTAATCCCAGCACTTTGGGAGGCCGAGGCAGGCGGATCATGAGATCAGGAGTTCAAGACCAGCCTGGCCAACGTGGTGAAACCCCGCCTCTACTACAAATACAAAAATCAGCTGGGCATGGTGGTGGGTGCCTGTAATCCCAGCTACTCAGGAAGCTGAGGCAGGAGAATCGTTTCAACTCCGGAGGCGGAGGTTGTAGTGAGCCGAGATCACGCCATTGCACTCCAGCCTGGGCAACAGGGCAAGACTCCGTGTCAAAAAAAAAAAAAAAAAAAAAAAAAAAAGGGAGGCCAAAGCAGGCTGGAGACTGCTCCATCTCCCTGTGACTGCAATTTTCTGTTCTTCCTGTTAGGGCAGGGGGTCAAGCTCCCAGTGGGGATCCAGTGACCTGCAGGTAGAAGCAGGTAGGTGTGCAGGTGAGGAGAAAGTGAGGCCAGGTTACCTGCCGGATTATATGTATTGGGGCTCAGAAAATGTTACTCAAAAATGAAAGCCTTAGAAGCAGCTCTCTCTGACCTTTTCCCATCTCTGATCCTCCCGTCTCTGGCCCCTCATCCTCCCACAGGCGTAGCCATACAAACTAGAATCCCTCTTCCCCAAGGTGGTTTCTGGAAACCAGAACCCTTTTTTCCCAAAGCCAGCCATAAAACCTAAAAATGTCACTTGAAATTTCCCCTTTTACATCTTTCTATGTTAAAGCTAAACACAAAGAAATTCTCAGCTGGGCATAGTGGCTCATGCCTGTAATCCCAGCACTTTGGGAGGCCAAGGCAGGAGGATCACTTGCGCCCAGGAGTTCGAGGCCACCCTGGGCAACATAGGAGGACCCCATCTCTGCAAAAAATAAAAAATTAGCTGGGCACGGTGGCATGCGCCTGTAATTCCAACACTTAGAGAGGCTGAGGTAGGAGAATGACTTGAGCCCAGGAGGTCAAGGCTACAGTAAGCTGTGATTTCACCACTGTACTTCAGCCTGAGAAGGGAAGGGGAGGGGAGGGGAGGGGAGGGGAGGGGAGGGGGGGGAAGGGATCCTCTGACCTACCTTGTTTGACTGTAGGTCATAAGACCCCCATTCCAGAGAGGGTCCTGCCCTATACCCAGAAGGAAGGAACGCTGCTCAGAGAGGCCAAGAAGAATCTAGACAGACAGGCCTTACTGGGTCTTCCCACTCAGTCCATTAGACACATTTTGTCCAGTTGTATTATCTACATGGCTGCCCATACTTCACTGAACCTAAGCATAAAAATAGACAGTTTGCCTGTATCTTTGGGTCTTTATTTTGAAGGCTCCTGTGTCGCATAAAAGTATGATCAAATAAATTTGTATGCCTTTTCCTCTATGAATGTACTGATTTTGTCAGCTAATTTTCAGCGAACTTTCTGAGGGCAAAGGCAAAGATTTCTCCTCGCCCTACAGGTGCATCAGCCAACAAGAAGTCCCTCTATTTGCAGGTCCTCTTTGTCCTGTCAATTTCTTTCTTTTAATTTCTTTTTTCTTTTTTTGAGATGGGGTCTGGCTCTGTCGTGCAGTGGGAAGATCTCGGCTCACTGCAACTTCTGCCTCCTGGTTCAAGTGATTCTGGATTCTCCTGCCTCGGCCTCCCAACTAGCTGGGGCTATAGGCGTGTGCCACTACACCAGGCTAATTTTTGTATTTTTAGTGGAGATGAGGTTTCACCATGTCGGCCAGGCTGGTCGCCAATTTCTGACAGAGGCCAAGTGTCCCATATAAGTGAAATATTTACTTAACCCAAGGCTCAATGTGTTCCTAAATTTGCAAGCAGTCCTCTTCCTCATTTGCAATAAAGCAAAGTTCATCCTCCCCTGAGCCGAGGCAACCGTGAAATTGACAAGCCAGGAGCTGGGAAATGACCGATGCAAAGAAGAGCAATGCCCTTTAACGCTTCAATAGAAAAAAAACGTAATTACATCCTCCTAGGCCATGAAGGCATTGAAAATCTATAAGGACAATGAGCTTAGACTTGATTGTTCGAGTCATCAAAAAAACCCAGAATATATATATATTTTTTTCCAGAAAAATGTTTCTGGGTAGTATAATTTGAGGTAAATTATACTAAAATATAATTCCCTAGAGAAGAAGGAAATTGGTTTGAGGTATTGGTTATTTCCCTCTTGTTGCAGAAACAAAAGTGGTGATTTAGAATTCAGAGACCAGGAGATACCTAGGAGGTGAGAGCCATCTGTTAGATCTGTTAATGTTTCTTAATAAACTGGGGGCCGGGCGCGGTGGCTCATGCCTGTAATCCCAGCTCTTTGGGAGGCCGAGGCAGGCGGATCACCTTAGGTCAGGAGTTCGAGACCAAATTCGCCAATGTGGTGAAACCTCGTCTCTACTAAAAAAAAAAACAAAAATAGCCGGGCATGATGGCGGGCACCTATAATCCCAGCTACTCGGGAGGCTGCGGCAGGAGAATCGCTTGAACCTGGGAGGCAGAGGTTGCAGTGAGCCGAGACTGCGCCACTGTACTCCAGCCTGGGTGGCAGAAGGAGACTCTGTCTCAAAAAAAAAACAACTGGGAACCACGGCTCCTCACTCAGCTGGAACTAGGGGTCTCGGTAGTGAGCCACTGATGAGGGGCAAGTCTGAGGGCCCCTTCCTGAGTCTGACCACGGTGAAGTGGCCTGGGGTGCTTTCTGCAGGGGGCACGCCAGCTCCTTCAGCAAAACCCAGGACAGATTTCAAAGCGTTAAAACCAGAGCAGCCCACATGGCGGGGTTTTATGAAGTCGAACGTGTGTCCAGAGCCCAGGGGTGAAGTTTCCCCTTGTGGCCAGGTGAACAGCCCCTTCCTCATTTCATGTGTGATGGATGGAAGCACCTACCTGTGGGCATCCAACCCCCAACCCTTTCAGTTCCAGATACTGACCTATTTTTATTGTGGTAAAATATACGTAATACAAACTTTACAATTTTAACCATTTTTAAATGTGCCGTTCAGTGGCATTAAGTATATTCACAGCGTTGTGCAGCCATCTCCAGAAGTTTTTCAGATTGCAAAACCGACCTCTGTACCCATTAAACAGTAACTTCCTATTCCTCCCCTCTCCATCTTCTGGTAACTCTGTTTTGCTTTCTGTCCCTGTCGGTTTGACAATTCTTCGTAGCTCGTATAAGAGGAAACATATTATTTGTTTTTTTGTGACTGGCTTATTTCACTCAGCATAAGGTGCTCAGGGTTCATCCGTGGTGTAGCATGTGTCAGAATTCGCTTCCTTTTTAAGGCTGAGTAATGTTCCATTGTATGGAGAGACCACATTCATCCATCAGCGGGCACTTGGGTTGTTTCCACTTTTTGGCTACTGTGACTCACGTTGCTGTGACTAAGAGTGTGTAAATATCTCCCCAAGTCCCTGCTTCCCATTCCTTTGGGGATTTACCCAGGAGTGAGACTGCTGGATCCCATGGCAATCCTGTGTGTAATTTGGGGGAAGCTCTGTGCTGTTAGATACTGATCTTTCCCACCTACTATTTCTGCCACAGGCAGCGCTTGCTCCACTCCTGAAGCAGGCAGGGACGCTGCCCACAGACATGCCTGCTGACATCTAGGAGTGGCTTAGCCTCATGAGCCCTGCTGGTGTGGGCTTCAGGTAACCCTGTGCTCCTTTGACTCCCAAGGTGGCTGGCTCACCCTGACCTTTCCTCCGTCTGCTTGGTTTGCCTTCGCATTCCGGGCTGGAGTGGGAGCTTAGCTCTGAAGTCCGGCTCACGTGTTTGGCCCCTAGGCCCCAGCCTCGCCCTCGGGTGTCCCTCCTCCTGCATACTTGGGGCTGGCTGATCTGCTCACTGGGACCCTGGAGCCTTGGTGGTAAGGTCAGCTGGTCTCTCTACTCAGGACCATGGGACAGGGAAGGAGGCTGGAATGGAGGACGCCTGCTGAGCACCTCCCACTGGCCTTGGGTGGTTTGAGGGGTTGGTGGCTACAGGCTGATTCTGGCTCTAGACTCATTTAAATCTCCTTGAATGTAGGTAGTCTTCAGGGAGTGGGTGTGAGTTCAGGTCAGGCCTAAGAGCCTGGAAAGCCAGGCATATGCTAAGGTTGGGATGCCGGAGAGAGAATAGGATCCTTTTAGATGTGAAGAAGGGCCCTGAGCTGGGAGCAGGGTTAGCAAAAGCCAGCCATGGAACCATGTCGCAGCCCTGGCAGGCACCAGTCTCCACGGGAAAGCAGAGAACAGGTCCAGGCTGAGGGCATAAGCCCACTGGGTTGGCCTGGGTTTGGGAAGAAACAACCACAGCCTAGGGCACAGGAGGGCCCCTGGCCCATCCTAAGCCTTTGACACAAGCTTTAGAGCAGGTTTACACTGCTCACTAGCGTACAGCCGCCCTCTAGAAGTCTGCCAGCCCTGGCGATGCTGATTTAGGAACTGAGCAGGCTGGCAGCTTTTCACACCTGCAGCTGGGAGGGATGAGAAGGTGCAATCTGGCAGGACAGCACCAACTGGCTCCAAACGAAGCCCCTCCCCAGCCCCACTGTCCCGACACTGCAGCCACCCGTGGCTTTGGTCATCTCTTTTGTCTAGAACTGAGAGTTTCTAGGGGCTGCTTGGATTCTGCACAATGACTGCAGGCTCCCTTCCACAGGCGTAGACATTACAGCCACGGCAGCAACCCTCTCCCACCTGGGTCCTCCCTTCCTGTGGTCCCAGGGTGTCAGCCCTGGCTGCCCATGGGGGTCCCCTGGGAAGTTTTAAGAAAGTATGTTTATTGCGGCACTATTCACAATAGCAAAGACTTGGAACCAACCCAAATGTCCAACAATGATAGACTGGATTAAGAAAATGTGGCACATATACACCATGGAATACTATGCAGCCATAAAAAATGATGAGTTCATGTCCTTTGTAGGGACATGGATGAAATTGGAAATCATCATTCTCAGTAAACTATCACAAGGACAAAAAACCAAACGCTAAATGTTCTCACTCATAGATGGGAATTGAACAATGAGAACACATGGACACAGGAAGGGGAACATCACACTCTGGGAACTGTTGTGGGGTGGGGGGAGGGGGGAGGGATAGCATTAGGAGATATACCTAATGCTAAATGACGAGTTAATGGGTGCAGCACACCAGCATGGCACATGTATACATATGTAACTAACCTGCACATTGTGCACATGTACCCTAAAACTTAAAGTATAACAATAATAATAAAAATAAATAAATAAATAAAATAAATATAAGGAAAAAAAAAAAAGAAAAGCTTTTCCCTGCACCCCGCTCCTAGAGATTCTGATTTTATTGGTCTGGGGGAGGGACTCAGTATTGTTATTTTTGAGAAGCATCTCAGGGTTTCTAGGGTACAGCCAAGGAGAAGAACCACTGCTGTAGACCCCTAGATCACCAGGTCTTGGTGGCTTGCAGATGAGTTCTTCAATTCACAATGGAACCTAAGGGTTTCGGTCAGTGGTTCTCATACCTGTATGAGAATCACCTGCAGGGCATGGAAAAACATGTCTGTAGGGCCTGGGAATTTGCATTTCAAACAGGTTACCAGGAGAGGCTGATGTTCTGGCTATGTGACTACACTTTGAGAGCCATAGATCTAGGCCCTCAGATCTCACAGATCTCATAGATCTAGGCTCGTAGCTCAACCTTAGTTCTTGGACTTAGGGTGATTGAGAGAAATAGAAGCAAGCTGTGTCCGTCACTGTACTTAATGTTTACAGCTTCATATTTTCACATGGCTTCGAAAGATCTGCCACTTTACCTCTGAACTATCGTGGGATAGAAACCCCAGCAGAGCAACTGGCCCATGGAAGGAGTTAATAAACGATCCTTCCCCCATATGCAGAATGGAAAATCGACTCTTAAGAAACTTCCACCCAACTTTTTCCCACCCCTCCCATGAAAAAGTTAAATCGTGAAAAGAAATATTTTGTTTAAAGTAACAGGATGTCTCCTTCCACCATGAGGGCCCACTTACAGACTTGAAAAGCCTGAATATTAGTAACATGCATTTATTTCTACATTAAAGTCATTTCTTAATGATGTGATATTTCAGTACTTGAGTTCGCCCAACGTCAGGAACCAAGCAGCCAAGCTGAGACCCTGATCACTCCCTCCTTTGTCTCTGGATGGGAGACTAGAATATTCAGAGGTTACAACCTGCGGCCAACAGAGCATTTTGACTCGTTATAGAAATGAGTGACTCATCCATGGGTCATTTACTCATCCGTCTCTCTTCCCCGACCACGAGGAAACTGCAGGGGACACACTTACTTTTCTTTAACTCGATGCACAAAGAACACAAATGTTGCTGATTCTGAGACCTGACTTCCTGTTATTAAAGAGGACATCGTACAATTTAACAGAACAAGATTTCTAAGCAAAGCAGAAGGTCTAATGATTTCAGAGTTTGCTTCCTACCTACAATTAACTAGGTCACAGCTGTAAAGGAAGAGAAAAAATAAATCACTCCAAACCAGGAGCACTCAATGTCATCGTGGCCAAAAAATAAACACTTCAGTTTTTCTTTTTTAAAAGAGGGGACTCTCAATTTAACAGAAACAAGCACATTTGATATACGCTAGAAAATAAAAAAAATCTGATCAGACAGTAGGCAAAAGCAGTGTCTCAGGCCCACTTATTTAATAGTTACACAAAACAGAGGAGTGAAAATAATGTACTTCATATCTAAAGGCTACAATATGCCTCGTATCCATGCAGAACACTTCTTTAGTATTATACACAACCGTAAAGACTCCCATTTGGTCATGTAGGAGTTACAGAGTTTTTAAGGCCCAGGACTGCTCAGGTCTGTAGGACTTCGCAATTTGGCAAATGTGAAATTCTCATAGTGGACTCTTCGACCTTGGTAGGATGTCACAGAGGAAGAGATCCTTTTAGAGTGGATTGTATTTTTAAGTATCCCCAGTGCCCAAGAAAGGAATGCTTTCAGACAGGGACATTTCAATGTGTTTAGTCCCTTCCTTTCTCTCTTATGATCACCTCCACCAGGAGGATTTTGTTTCTCTTTGAGTGGGTTGTACAGTCACTACTAATTTTGTCTAAGTGTTTGCATAAAATAGCTGTGGGAAAGATAATTAATGGATGGATGGATGGATAGACAGATATCTACATATATACATAGATAGATGAATGGATGGGTACATGGATGGATGAATTGGTGGATAGATACCGATGGATAGATACCGATAGATCGATAGATAGATAGGTCTCTATAGTTGAACAGATGGATGGATAGATAGATGGATGAACAGAGAGATCTCTATGTAGATTTCTATAGAGATCTATCTGCCTATCCATCCGTCTATCTATCTATCTACCTACCTACCTACCTACCTGAAACAAAGATGAAAAAGAAAAATAACCTATGAGCATGGACGTCAGAGAGGATACTTTAGATCCTCGACCTCAAAATGCCCTTTATAGGCTCCAGCCTCAGCAACTACACGGGAACTTGGAGGAATGCAGACTGCATCTGCATTTAGTAAAACCCCCAGATGATTCCATTATAAACTGACGCTTGAGAAGGTGTGCTTTAGGACAGTGATTTTCAGTAACTTTTTTTTTTTGTCAATTATGGAAATCTTTTCCCAAATGAAATATTTGGTGGGGACATAAGAAATATCTTAGAAGCAGAGCTCTGGTTGACCAGGGGTGAGGGGGGTCTCAGTCTTCCAGCCCCCTAGTGGCACCTCCCATCCCACACTGCGTCTTAGCGGTAGTGGCTCCTGCTTCTGAGTGGGTATCAGGGGTCCTGGTGTTTTTGATTATGTTGCACCCTAACACCTACCAGCCCAGAGGCTACCATGTTGATTCTTCTGAACAAAGAAGCCCTGGCATATTATGGATGCTCAGGTGATATTAGATGATCATTAGTAATTGATTTTTTTTTCTTTTTTTTGAGACGGCGCCTCGCTCTGTCGCCAGGCTGGAGTGTAGTGGCGCCATCTTGGCTCACTGCAACTTCCGCCTCCCGGGTTCAAGCGATTCTCCTGACTCAGCCTCCCACCACGCCCAACTAATTTTTGTATTTTTAGTAGAGATGGGGTTTCACCATGTTGGCCAAGAAGATCTCAATCTCTTGACCTCGTGATCCACCCACCTTGGCCTCCCAAAGTGCTGGGATTAGAGGCGTGAGCCAACGCGCCCAGCCAATAATTGATTTTAAATAAGAATACATGGACAGGTACAGCTCAGTTGTTCCAGAGATGGGCATCAGAGGGGAAATGGAAGCAGGGAGACAGCCTATTGATGATGAGAGGAAGACAAGACAGAGGGCAGAGAGATGGGAGTGGCCCTATAGTTAAGAGTTGCCAGATAAAATACAGGACACCCAGTTACATTTGAATTTCAGACAAACTCCATGGAACATGCTTAGATGAAAGAATGATTCATTGTTTATTGAAATTTGATGTAACTGGGCATCCTGTATTTTCATTTGCTGAATCTGGCAACCAGACCTAGAGTTCCTTTCTAAAGGGACACTTTTCTCAGCAGCTTGGATTCCAAGGGTCTCACTCTAGGTTAGACCCCCATTTAGATTCGCTCTGGAGAGTTTTCTGAAGTCAGACTACCTGGGTTCAAACCCTGGATCTGCCACTGCTGGCTGCGTAACCCTGGACAAATGACTTAATCTCTCTCTATTCTCTGTTTTCCTATTCTAGAAAGTGGGGTTAGGAATAAGAGCCAACCTCAAAGGGCTGCTCTGAGGATCAGAGGAGAAAACAGCTGCATAGATTAAGCACATAGAAAGAGCTCATTAAAGGTACTTTCTATTCTTGGCTGTGCTTCTGGGTCTCAGTAACTTCCCTCTCTGCCTGGATTTGCTCCTGGCCATTTTCTTGGAGAGTGAGACCCATCCAGAGGGGAATGTGGGACAAGGAGGGAGGAGGAAGTAAGGACTGAGAAGGCCCAGAGACGTGCCTTCCTCTTCTTTCCAGGGTCCTGGCCTGTCTTGTCTGTTGGGCGGGTATGCTTCCTTCCTGGCCTTCCTTGTGGAGCATGTCTGGGAGTGTGCTAGGAAATGAGGGAGGAAAATATGTAACTTGATATCTGCTCCTTGACCCTGGCTGACCTGGTTAACTCTCTCCAGGATGGAAGCAAAGCCTGCCCGGGAAACCTTCCATTGCAGGAACATCTCGGCCTGAAGCTGTCATCAGGGAGCAGGATCTGCTTCCCGGACTCTGAGCAGAACAATGGGAGCCCCAGCAGGCTGGCGAGGCTGACAAGCCCTAGGACGGTGACCTCTCCGATCTCCAGATCGGAAACTCAGAAACGTGTAAGTGCCAGAATCCGCATTTGGGAATCTGTTATTTCTCCCTCTGCGAGTCAACCTGATCACCCTGGAAGCCTCACTGTCTCTCAGCCCTTGTTCCCATTTTTCTTTCCATGAACACCGCAATCAGATACGAGATTCCAGTAATGATGGTTCTTGAAAATTAAACAAATCAAAAAGAAAGCCAGCCAAGGTATGGAGTGGGGGACCTCTAAGTTCCCCTGGAGGAGACACTGGGGCCAGGTTCCGAGGTGCATTCGGAGCCAGAATCCCTAATGGAATTGAACAATTATCCTGAAGCTGCTCTCTGAAAGCCGCGGTTTTCCTAAAACACTGTGCTTGGCGTGCCTGGGCTTCTTGGCACTGGCCCATGACCCACAGCAGCAAATCGTTCCCAGGAAGCTATTGTTATTTGTGTATCTGATAGCATTCAGCTGAGTACACTGACAGCAACATTTAGAAAGGAAAAGAAAAAAGAAGCGTAGAGTGAAAAGGACAAAAAGGAGGCTTCCAACATCCTGGTGGGAACAGAAAACCAGCAAAGCCTCTTTTCCAGCCCTTATCCTTGTGAGTTTGGACTCTGCAGAACTGTCATCCCCCAGGCATAGCTGCAGCTTGTATGAAGGTGGGCATCAGGCGCGGAGATTCAGGACAGTGTGCACCTGCTTTCCTCCAACGGGACCCCCTCTGTTCTTCCCAGGAATGCCTGTAAACTGCCACTGCCTCTAGGGGCTGCACCAAGTCCCTGTGTACTCCCAGGACACAATGGAGTGGAATGGAGTGGCTCTGTTCTGTCAGGGCCTAACATTCCAAATGAATTCATTCCCTTCTGGGAAAAAAGAACCACCTTGCTCAGAGCACAATGTTCCCATGTCTTGGCTTACCTTGAAGCATTTTTGATACACCTGTTGGGACAATGCGTTCTGCCAAGAGAAGGGAAGTAGCATACTTTGTTCTATTTTTTACTCTCAATGGGCTACGTTTCCATTGTGTTGGTTTCCCTTACAGAAAGTAACACACACAGAAGAGAAGGTTATAGGATTCCATGCTGCTTGGCAAAGGCACAAAATATGTGCACATATTTACATGGAATATGAGGGTAAACTAGAAAATTAAGGGTAATCTAAAATAGAAAAAAAGAAGAAAACAATAAGTTAAAAGTATGAAAAGACATCCAGAATGAGCAAGTTACTGAGGTTGTGCCTCAACTTTAGCTTGAGTTTCCTGGCAGCAAAGGTAAAAAGGTAAGTACATTGAATCACATACTTCTTATTATCTTCTAAAAGGAATTAACGGAGTGGAATATATAAAAAGCACTGAATAACATAAGGAACAAGATCTTCAATGGTCATTTTGAAAAAGCCTCAGAAGCGTGCTTATAGATGTTTCTTCTGCTGGCTTTCTCAGCAAGATGATACTAAGATACCATCCTAACCACCTCATCTCTGCCTATAGCCCAGGCTATGCCTAGACATGCCTGGAGCTATGCCAGTGGTTCAAGGGGTTTCTACAAACACTTGCTTCTACCTTTGCTTTAAATTGGTTTCTTCTCCTCTGATTTCTCTGGTCTCCACCTGTTTCTTGATTCTCCAGCTATATTTGACACATCTAACCGGATTCATGAGTCTTTAGCCTGTCTGTGGGTTGGCTTGCAGGCTCACTGACCCCAGCAAACTCCCATGCCTGGCCTTGGGTCCTGCCCACCCACCTCCATGTCCTGCCTAAGTCTCGGGTCACATGGCCAGCCCCAGTCCAGGCCAAGAATAGGTTGCTGCTCATTCAAAACAAAATGACACTAAACATCAGCCCTCAATAGAGAGGAATTAAATCTTAACTTTGTAAAATAATTTCAGCAGGGAGTTGAGAAAATACAGCATAACTATGTTGATATTTGATTATTTAATTTAATAAAGATCTAGTGTAGGCCAGGCATGGTGGCTCGCACCTGTAATCCCAGCACTTTGGGAGGCCAAGACACGCGGATCACCTGAGGTCAGGAGTTCAAGACCAGCTTGACCAAATGGTGAAACCCTGTCTCTACTAAAAATACAAAAATTAGCCAGGCATGGTGGCGCATGCCTGTAATCCCAGCTACTTGGGAGGCTGAGGCAGGAGGATCGCTTGACCCCCGGTGGCAGAGGTTGCAGTGTGCCAAGATTGTGCCATTGCACTCCAGCCTGGGCAATAGAGTGAGACTCTGTCTCAAAAAAAAAAAAAAAAAAAAAAAAAAGGATTTAGTGTAAAGAGATTAAAGTAATGACTAGCCAACATATCCATTGATCTGCTTCTCTTGCGTGTCCTATGTCCCTACAAAACTTTGGGCTAAGTGCTAGAAGGTAGTGAATTCAAAGTTGCCTTATCCGGCAAGAGACAGTGAGGACATCCTGAGTTTAAAACTGAAGAGTTGCATCTCTGCTGTGGATGTGACAAGTGTGAGCTGCTGTTTAGAAGGGACAATGGAGAAGCCTGACTTGCCTCCTCCCCCAGCAGGGACATCATTCTATTTGACATCGTGGTGAGATCCAGAGTTCCTCAGGGTTTAGCCAACGTTTCCATCAGAAAAGGAGCTGTGAATCCATTCAAGTTCTTGCTCAAGGACTTGGCTGGGACCCCAGAATTCCACTCCATCTAGCATGAAAGAGATGATTTAGAACTGAAAGGTTTTAGTCCAGCTGTTACCAGTCAGCCACCTTGATCATAAAAGAACCTCTGTTTGGCTCTTGTGCAATCTCTAGTTTTAAGTAGGACCACACACTGCTGGTCTGCAAATTTGAGTTAGCAAAATATACCTCTAGGTGGTAGGGTGATTGTTCTATTGGCTGAAATTGCTTGATTTGTTCTGTTTTAACACCATCAATGGAGAATATCTTCCCAAAACAAAAAAATGTTGCTGATGATATTAATAAGTTGTTCTATCAGGCAATAATTAGACCAGAGGTTCAGTTGCTTCTGAAGTTGTTGTCCTATTGCTAGGTAATAAAACCATGTTCTCAGCAAAGAGGATGTCATCTTCCTGTTTCCTCTAGCTGGAGGACGTGTATTCAATGTATTCAAATATATTTTAAAATTTGCATTTGACCTGTCAGAATAGGTTTTTTTTTTTTAAAAAAATATATATTCTGATTTAGCACTAGGATTATGCTGCAGCTGGAGGGCCTGAGGATCTATTTTAAGATTAGTTTTTTTTGTAGCAAGATGTTTCCTTTTTATGAAAATCAAGCCTGGGGCAGGGGAGAATATGTAGATATTTAGGGTGGGACAGTCCTTTTTTTTTTTTTTGAGATGGAGCCTTGCTTCGTTGCCCAGGCTGGAGTGCAGTGATGCGATCTTGGCTCACTGCAACCTTCACCTCCCGGGTTCAGCGATTCTGCTGTCTCAGCCTCCCGAGTAGCTGGGATGACAGGAGTGTGCCACCACGCCCAGCTAATTTTTTTTTTTTTTTTTTTTTTTTTGAGACAGTCTCATTCTGTCACCAGGCTGGAGTGCAGTGGTGTGATATTGGCTCACTGCAATCTCTTCCTCCCGGGTTCAAGCAATTCCCCTGCCTCAGCCTCCCGAGTAGCTGGGACTACAGGCGTGCCCCACCACACTCAGCTAATTTTTGTATTTTAGTAGAGATGGGGTTTCACCATGTTGGCCAGGATGGTCTCGATCTCCCGACCTCATGATCTGCCTGCCTCGGCCTCCCAAAGTACTGGGATTACAGGTGTAAGCCACCATGCCTGGCTAATGCCCAGCTAAGTTTTGTACTTTCGTAGAGACACGGTTTCACCATGTTGGTCAGGCTGGTCTCAAACTCCTGACTTCAGATCATCTGCCTGCCTCAGGACAGTGCTCTTTTACTTGTAGAAATTGAAAACTGGCATCTTAGGCAATGTTATTCTTTAAAGTTGGATTATAAAAATAGAGATATTTCATATCTCTCACTCTGTTCCTCTCTCACATACACACATACAGACATATGTATTTTTTCCTTAAATATAAGAACAACGCATACATACATTTTCTTTTGTAAAGTTAGAAGATCCAGGAACACCGGCCCTGGTTTTCCCGTGGCACAGCTGAGTAGTAGCTGGCCTCACCTGCTGGGGCAGGAGTTTTCCAGGTTGCAATGTGCCTCTTTCTGTATTTTCCTGCTACATTTCTTCCCTGCCTGGCTTTGACACATATTTGAGTTTATAATGCCTCTACGAGGTTGTATTTTCTCAGGTGACTAGAGTGAACAGGAGCGCAGCCACAGGAGTTAAGATAAAGGATTAGGTCTTATGTGTACCATCTGAGATAGAAACCAACTCTCAAACCTAGCCAGTTTCTGACCACTGGATCTCTTAAGGACAGAAGTTTTCTTGTACTGCATGGGCCCCACTCTAAGATACATGAGACATGTTTCTCTTATGCCACCTTAAGGCCATTGACAGAAGAAAAAAGGAAGTCACAGAGTCCCGAAGATATTTTTGTTTGCTCTTAGGTATGTTGGTTTAATACCATCAAGGAGAACACAGAACACCCAACCAGAGATTCTACTAGAAATAAAGGGCGAGTAAGATGATCTGGGCTGGGCGTGGTGGATCACACCTGTAATCCCAGCACTTTGGGAGGCCTAGGCAGGTGGATTGCTTGAGGCCAAGAGTTTTGAGACCAGCCTGGCCAACATAATGAAACCCTGTCTCTACTAAAAATACAAAAATTAACTAGGTGTGGTGGTGCATGCCTGTAATCCCAGCTGCTTGGGAGGCTGAGGCACAAGAATCACTAGAACGTGGGAGGTGGGGGTTGCAGTGAGCTGAGATTGTGCCACTGCACTCCAGCCTGGGCAACAGAGCAAGACTCTGTCTCAGACAAACACAAGATGATCTGCAGATGGACGCTATGGCTGAACCAAAAGCCATAGGATCTAGGTATTGCCCCGAGAGTAATGTCAAATGGCACGGCATGTGGCCTTGGGAGCTGAGGTTCTGCTCGTTGACAATTGGTCTTCAGGAAGCCAAGTTGACCAGTAGGCTGACATAAGCACACCATTCTACGTTGTTGATTTCAAATCGACAAGTGCCCGTATGCATTTCCAGACTGCTTTTTTTTTTTTTTTCTTAATGAGCTCCTCTCCCTAAATGCTCTGCTACCTGACAACCCAGAGCTGGGGCTCAGCAGGGGAGGAAGCGCCCTCTCCTCGTCCTCCCTTTAAGGATGGCATCTTAGCCTCTCCATGCTGCTATAACAAATCCCATAAACTGGGGAGCTTACAAACAACAGAAGTTTATTGCTCATAGTTCTGGAAGCTGGAAAGTCTAATATTAAGGCAGATTCGGTGCCTGGGGAGCACTCACTTTCTGGCTTACAAGCAAAACTTTCTTCCTGTGTCCTCACATGGTGGAAGGGACTACTGAGCTTTTGAGGGCCTCTTTTATAAGGGCACTAACTGTCTCCCAAAGGCCCCATCTCTTAATGCCATTACTTTAGGGGATAGGATTTCAATATATTAATTGCAGAGGAACAAAAACATTCAGACCATAGCATATGGGATTCACATCTTAATGACAGTGATTCCAGAACCTGACACCTGCACTGCTGCCTACATGGGTGGACCCGGCACCTATGCACCAGGCCAGTGACAAAGCAAGGCTGTCACTGCCCCTGCACAGGAACAGCTTTTGCAGAGCCCTGATGACTCTGCTCATCTACACCCAGGCACATAAATTTCACTTTGGTAACAAAATAGGCAAATTCACAAGAATCGGCACAGACTCGTGGGAGGGCTCCTGTACCACTTGTCTGCTTCTTAAACTTCTCTTTCAGTGGTATGAATTTCATGTGTCAGGGGTAC
Organism: Homo sapiens; assembly: GCF_000001405.40. Taxonomy (NCBI): domain Eukaryota; kingdom Metazoa; phylum Chordata; class Mammalia; order Primates; family Hominidae; genus Homo; species Homo sapiens. The sequence goes on from NC_000010.11 coordinate 13,996,570, forward strand.
CATCTTACTTAAAGGAAAATTAAAGGGGCTGGTGAAGGGGAACTAGGCATAATGTAACTGGGTGAATCCCACATAGAAAGCCTTCTCTGGATAGGATCTACACGGAAGACTTCCTTCCTAGTGTTGGCACCTGTTACTTACTTTCCTTCACCCTAATTGGCAGATAATAGCAGGATTTTCTTCTACAAGAACTCCACGAGATCTTAGAAATGATTTCTTCCAATTTGATCCAAATCCATTTGCTTTTACAGAATAGATGTCGATCCCCAAATTCGGAGTTCAAATTAGGACTTGCTCATTTCGGGCAGTTGATGGCTGGCTCCAGCCTAAATTATACTTTCTAAATCTATTCTGGGACTCAGCTGGGTTATGAAGCCCTGACCCATGATTACATCAAGCCATTGAAAAAAATTGAGGCAAAACAAAACAAAACAAAACAAAACAAAACAAAACAAAACAAAACAGGTTTTCCCTCTGCTAGATCTTAGGACACCTAAGACTTAGGGGTAGAGTGCTGGCTTTTGACATAGGTGACCAATAGATGATACTGAAATTGGTCTTTCATCTTCTCTCTTGCCTTTTTTTTTGCATGGGTTGTGGAAGCTGGAAAAGACCTAAGGGACAATTGCAGCTCCATTTTTCTGACATAGTGGCTGAAGGGAGGGATATTTAAAAGAGGAACATGCTGTTTCTTTGGTGCTATAGGGAGAAAACTCACTCTTGGCCTTAGTTGTAATAATCTTCACCCCAAGAGTCTCTACCATGGTCTCTAATTGCTCTCTGTGTCCAGGACTGACCTTAGGGTGAGTAAAAATTGTTCTAAGAGTTTCTCTCTTTTCCCATCTGCATTATTCATCACTTCCTCTGCTGTGTTCTTTTCTCTACCCCACTGTGCCTGTTTTTCTGGAACACTATATATTAAGGCACTGCTTCTCAAACTGTCTTCTCTGTTATATGCCCATGAGCATTAGGTTCAGGATGTCTGAGGTGGAGACCAGGCATCTGATCCATGTACTGTACTTAGAAACACATGGCAATTCTTTTCTTTTCTTTTCTTTTTTTTTTTTTTTTGAGATAATATCTTATTCTGTCACCCAGGCTGGATTGCAGTGATGTAATCTTGGCTCACTGCAGCCTCGACCTCTTGGGTTCAAACAAGCCTTCCATCTCAGCCCCCAGAGTAGCTGGGACTACATGTGAGTGCCACCACACCCAGCTAATTTGTTTGTAGAGATGGGGTTTTGCCATGTTGCCCAGTTTGTTCTCAAAACTCCTGACCTCAAGTGATCTGCTCACCTCTACCTCCCAAAGTGCTGGGATTACAGCCACTAAGCCCGGCCAACACAAAGCAATTTTGATGCATGCAATTTGTGCAATCTTTTATGACAATGCTGCAATAAGGTGATTTCTTAGTCCTTATCTCACTTGACTATCAGCAGCATTTGAAAATCCATCATGCCCTTCTGGGATCCTCTTTCTACCTCACTGGCTGCTCTCTGCTCATCTCCAGTGCTGGTTCCACCACATGGAGCCCATCTCTAAGCTTTGGAGTGGCTTCAGGTCCAGTGTGCTGACAATTTTCTTTCCATCCACACACATTCCCCAGATGTTATCATATAGTCCTCTAGCTTTAAATGCCAATCTCCAGTGGTATACTGGAGAATGTGTAACTCTTATCAACTCTCTAGGGGAATAAAAGCCCTGCTTTGTAATGTTTGCCAATTTCCATGGTGTAAATTCCCTGCCATGGCCCATTTCAAACTGCTCATCTGTCATCACTGAATGTAGAGTTGAGAAGAAATCACATAATTGGCTCTGGAGAGCCTCTCAAGCCAGCTCCAGTGAACCCCTGATAATGTCCACATCTTATCTCCAATACAGACCTCTCACCCAAAGAGAAAACATATGTTTTTAACATCCTACTGTATATCTCCATTTGAATTTTTACTCATTATCTCAAGTTTAGCACATCACGAATAGAACCCAGTCTCTCCCGCCCAGGCTGTCATCACTGACCAGCTCTTCCTGCAGTGGTTCCCATCTTGGTAAGCGTCAGCTGCAGTCTACAGCTGCTCAGGGGGCCGTTCTTGACTCCTGTCTTCCTTTCTCCCTCCACACCCAATCTGTCAGGAAATCCTGCCAGCTCTCCCTTCTAGATAAATTCAGAGTCCATTCACTTCTCACCACCTCCAGGGTATCCGCTGGCCTAAATCATCATCATCTGTCACTAAGATGATTGTACTAGTAACCTCATGCAACACCCTGATTCCAGCCTTCTTCTCTATCAACCTAGTAGCTAACGTCATCTTTCAGCCCCTGATCCCCTGATCTTTTTCAGTCTTACCCAGAGTAAAACCCAAAGGTCCTTCTCATGGCCTGCACAGCCTGTGCCAGCTGGGCTCCTAACTCTTCTCTGACTCTTTAACCTCACTTCTGACCACCCCCATCTCACCCCTTCACTCTGCTCCAGCTACCTGCTTGCCATCCCTCAAGTACATCAAGCCCACTCCTGCCTCTGGCCTGTTGTACTTGCTGTGCCCTCTGTGTGGGATGTTCTTTCCCCACATGGCTGTGTGGCTTGCTCCCATCTCCCTCCCTGTCCTTCCTTGAGAGCCACATTATATAACCATGCTGCACGCTCCGTCTCCCCCTGCTCCTTACTCTGCTTTATTTCTCTTTAGAGAACTCATCACCACTTGACGTACTACCAATTCACGAAAGCGCAGACTTAGCTGTGTCTCTTGGGCCTAGAACACTGTCTGGCATGTAGTCGATGTTAAATAAATATCTGTGAAATTAATAAATAAAATGTTAGGTCCTAGGTATTCCATTCCCAGGGATATCTGTATTCTGGGACTGATTCTGTGTGGTTGGACTAGGACCGCATTTTCTAGCAATGATCAATATACTTCTAACCCTTATTGGTTTTCCTCATTAATGTTCCAATAGAGTGATTGGAGAAATTGTGTCTGAATGATCCCTCCAATCCCTCCAATCACTCTATGGGAATGTTAATGAGGAAAGCCAGTCAGGCTTGGAAGCCTATAGCGTTTTTGAGAAAAGTTAGCAAGTAATGTAGGAAAATGATCAGAAGGATATTTCTGTACTATCTCAAAATATCCCCACAAGGGTTGTGATTGGGAAGAAAAGGGACTGCCCATGCACCCAAAGGTGTTAATTGTGTAGTAGGATTTTAGGAAGTTTTTCATGATCAAGTTCTCCACCAAGAAGAGCTAGCATCTTAAAATAAGTCACTGTTAGGACTGGTGATGACACGGATGTTCGTCTGCATACAAGCACAGGCACACTGCAACCCTGGCCCTTGAAGGACAATTCTGTTTTATTAAAGGCTTGAGTTTATAACCACAAAGGTATTCTTTTTGTTCAGGTAGTCAGCATTCACTCAATAAACACTTGTTTATCCTATCTTTATCCCAGGTATTGTTGTAGGCTCTGAGACCTAGTAGAAAAACTGACCAAGTCCTTTGAAGTATTAGTTATTGAGTGGCCAATAAGAGAAGACAAAAAAGAATTAAAAATCCGTAGATGTGGTTCATCCACTCCCAGATTAGAATAAAGATCCATTGCACAGTTTCTTCTATATAGTTTTATGGATGTAGGATAGATAATATTATCCTCTGAGGCTCATTGATGAGTAAATACAAATAAAAGTGGATTGTTTTCAACTATGTGTTCAAAGAAAGTCTTATATTACACAGGTGGATAATATTCATTATGTTAGAGCAGTTTCTAAGAGATCTGTTTCAAAGCATTTAAAGAAAGCCATTTCCCCCGGGGCAGGTGTGGTGGCTCACACCTGTAATTCCAGCAGTTTGGGAGGCTAAAGCGGGTGGATCACTTGAGGTCAGGAGTTCAAGACCAGCCTGGCCAACCTGGTGAAACCCTGTCTCTACTAAAAATACAAAAATTAGCCAGGCATGGTGATGGATGCCTTTATTGTCAGCCACTCAGGAGGCTGAGGCAGGAGAACCACCTGAACCCAGGAAGAGGAGGTTGCAGTAAGCTAAAATCATGCCACTGCACTCCAGCCTGGGTGACAGAGCAAGACGCCACCTCAAAAAAAAAAAAAAAAAAAAAAGAGAAGAAAGCTATGTCCCCTTTCTCCTTGAGAACACGATTGACTTTGTGTACATATTTGCAATATGGCAGATTGAAAGACACACAAAAGGGACTTTGTCCATGCACCAGTCAAGAAAAGAAGCATACAGGAGAAGCTAGATTGGATGTTTTTGATCTTAAATAGCCTGGAAGGAAGTCATGCACAATTCTAGACTCTATGACTTCGGAAGGCCTCAGGTAACTATCCAGAGACTCTCCTCAATGTGCTGGACACTGCATAGGATGTGCCAGGAATATGGACCCAACTTTCAAGGAGCCTAAATAGTTTTTTTCCCCTATTGAGAATGACATGACCCAAAAACCCAACCCAACCAACCCATTTATTTCTCTTTTATGTAAAGTCACCAGAAAACACAAAAACTAGCTGGTTTCCTTATGCTAGCATCTTGCCCAAATCATCGATCTTGGTAATATTATTTCCTTGGGGCAGCTGTTCTCAGTGTTGGCTGCAGGTTGGAATCACCTGGGGATTTAAATACTGATGCCTGGATCCTATCCCCAGAGATTCTGATGTACATAGTCTGGGGTACAGATGGGTTCTTAAAAGCTCCTTGAGTGTTTCCAATGCAACACCAAAGTTGAAAAGCATTGTTTTAACATGACCCATGGCATGATGGTGAGGCATGACGAGGGGACAAGCTATTCAAAGAAGAGAACCATAGCTCAGTTTCAGGCCCAGCCTGAGAGCTGCCATTTTGCATAGGATGCTGAAACGCCTGGGAGTCCTGACCATTTGCATAGATATTTGCAATCCTGCTTTCCACACCAGCTTGAGGAATGAAAACTCTGGAGTGGTACCCATAGAGACAGCCTTTCCTTCCCCACACTGAGCCAATAAGCAATGTCATTCTACCCAAGATGAGAAGTCAATGGCTTAACATGACATAAGCTGCTATACAAAACAAAATAAATATCGGTTCACCAAGTTTGGGTCACTTAAAATTGCACGGGCCTAACCAATGCAGGGAAAATGGCCTTCAATGCATTCTATGAACCAGAGAATTGGAGTCCCCAGTAGTCTGTGTTCTTTTTCTCCAGAGAGGCGTATATTTATAGAAGGAACAAAACCCCATGCAGGATGAGGGGGCTGGCTAATAATATGTGTGAATACACTGATCTGTCTGAACAGTTCTTGGCTGCCTGCGCTCAATGGTAATAAATATCCACTGAAAGCCGTCTGCTGTATGTGTTTTTGGTAACGTCTCACACTTCCCTGCATGAATACATTCAGAATGTAAGCAGCACACACTCAACGATAGAGACTCTGTTGTATTCCGAATTCTTAAGTTATGCAGCTTAGCAGCTGTGATAATGTAATGGTTTGCAAAATAATAGACTGGCAAGACGTCAACCTGGAATAACACATCATATAATGAATGATGTGGGTACAAAAACGTTTAATTTATGCTGTGTTAAAAATATCGCTCCAGAAATATCCCACCATTTCAGTCTTTCCCAGACACACAAAAACCCTTTCACCTAAAGTATTGGAATAATTGTGATAAAAGAGAATGCTTTCTTGTCTCATTTTTCCCCCAATAAAATCATCAGATTTGTACTACTTTGTGAAGAGATCTATGATTTGAGTCTGATTGGCTGTTCATGCATTAACTTTGTTCCACTTAAAGATGTACAGCATGGTCTTAGAGTTCCGAATAAATAAGAAAAGAGCATTTCGCTTTCTCCGCTTGTACTGACACGTAAGAGTGAACACATTTTCCACCAGAGATAATGGGACTTGTGGTAGGTTAGCACGAGGATGGAGGCTGTTCCAGTGTAGGTCTTAATTCTGATCCTCTTCTCGAATTTGCTCACTGACAGTTTATATGAACTTTTAGATTTCATTCATTCTGTCATCTAGTGGATATTTATTGCACTCCTGTTATGAACCAGGAACCCAGGGGTGTTCCCTGTCCTCAAGATGCCTGCCATCGTACGGAGGATTATGACTGAAGCAAACCAGTGGTTTCAATGCAGTGTGATTTGTGCTATTGTAAAGGGATCCTAGAGTACTACGGGAGCCAGCAGGGAGAGCATTTACTCAGACTTGGGGAAGGGATGGGGTGCCTGGAAGAGCTTCCTGTGGAATTGGCTTTAGGCTGAAAGAAGTAAAGGGGGTGGAGGGAGGAGGCAGAAATTGCCAGGAAGATGAAAACACACGCAAAGTTCCTGGGGCAAGAGCAAGCTCCGTAGTTTGGAGGAACAGCAAACATGTCCACGCATGGTTGGAATATAACATTCCCAGGGTAAAGCATGGGAAGAGGTGAGGCTGGAGGGCTGTGATTAGGAAAGGCCTTGTGATTTGTCCTTATCCTGAGGCAGGGAGCCACTTAAGGGTTTCAGTAGACGAGTGACACAATCACCCCTCGGTTTTAGAAAGAGCACAGTGGCTGCAGCACAGAGCGTGAATTGAGGGGAGCAAGACTGGCCACGGCGAGAAGGCAACACGCAGGCAAGAGATGGTGGCGGGCTGCACCACGGAATAGAGGAGCAGGACGGGGAGAGACGTTTCAGAGCTGGAATGGACAGTGCCTTGTGGCTGTGAGAAGGAGACGATGGAAAGAGAGGAGGCAGGAAGACGCCAGGGTCTAGTTTGGGTTTTAGGAAGCTGGGGGTGTTGGAGGAGAAGCAGGATTATTAGGAGAGATGACGAAGTTCATCGTGGACATGCTGGATTTGAGGTGTTGAGATGTTCAAGAGAACAGTGATGTCCAGTCCAGCTTGGGGGTCTGTGGGTGTGGATATTAGAGATGATAAGTCAACGGGGCAGACGAGCAATCCAGTAAATGCAGGAAATTATGCTCCCACTTCAACAGGTGATCTTACAGCTGGAAAATCAGTGGGTGAAAACGGAGATACAGCAACTCTGTAAGTATTTGCACGACTGGGTCAGAGCCCTCATAGGCGGGCATCTCAGGGTGTGAAGAAATATACATTTCTCAGCTTCCTGGAGCCCAAACTACAGCAGCAGAGAATACAGACAGAAGCCTAGCAGATTTCACCTCCACTTAAAACCACAAACTAAGACAACATGGGGTGGGCCACATAAAAGGTTCACTCACTCATTCTTAGGCTTTGCATCTATAAAGGTAATCTCCAACATAAAACCATTTCCTCGTATTGCAAAGTTATAGCAGTTTAATAAAAACTTCCTCCCTGCCCCAAGGCAAACGCCCAGGAAAAAATTTCCACATTTTCTCTTTCCTTAACTCATTTATATGTTTTGTTCTTACATTTATTAGAATTTTCCATGAAGTTCATTTTTACTTTACTTCTGGAATAAAAACCATCTGGCTTTAGAAGGAAGAGACCATACAGAAGGATGTGGGCTTGAGTAAGTTGAGTTACTTGGGATTCACGTGTAGTCAGTTAGAAAAATTTTGTTTTCCACGTGTCTTACATAAAATTGGGAGTCCCAGAAAAGTTATCACCACGACACAATATACTGCTTGTCTTGGCTTTAGCAAGCGAATAGCCCTAAAGGATCTCCCCAGGAGACAGGGAGGTGTGTCTAAATATAAAAAATTGTCATCTGTTTATTAAAAATACAAGACTGGGTGCGGTGGCTCACGCCTATAATCTCAGCACTTTGGGAGGCCAAGGCAGGTGGATCACCTGAGGTCAGGAGTTCGAGACCAGCCTGGCCAACATGGTGAAACCCCGTCTCTACTAAAAATATAAAATTATCCAAGTGTGGTGGCGCACGCCTGTAATACCAGTTGCTCTGGAGGCTGAGGCAGGAGAATCACTTGAACCCAGGAGGTGGAGGTTGCAGTGAGCCAAGATCGTGCCACTGAACTCCAGCCCGGGCAACACAGCGAGACTCTGTCTCAAGAAAAAAACAAACAGAAAAAAAAAGATACAAGCCAAATGTTCTTATACACAAAGACAGGCAATCTTAAAAATGATGCCTATCATTATGGACTACATTTTATATGATTGCCAGGTATTGTGTTACGTCCTTGCATACATTTTTGGTGATCCTTTACAAGCACTGCAAAGGGGTGGGCAGTGTGGATGAATAAACCGAAGCTGAGAAAGTTTGAGTCACTCTATCAAGGCCATATGACTCGTAAATATTCAATAGTTAAAGAGTAAATAGTAAAACTCGTAAATAGCAAATAGACAAGCCTCACTCTTGTCACCCCACCCTGCTGCTTTCTGTAGCACCTAAATTGTCTTTGTTACTTATTTTGTAGCTTAATTCTAGCCTGTATTATACTGACTTCTAATTGTTTTATTTATATAAACTTTACAGGCCTAATCTCTCCTCCCATACCAAACGTGGCATTTTATATTTCTTTCTTTCTTTCTTTCTTTCTTTTTTTTTTGAGACCTGAGTCTTTCTCTGTCACCAGGCTCGAGTGCAGTGGCTCCATCTTGGCTCACAGCAACCTCCACCTCCCAGGTTCAAGCGATTCCCCTGCCACAGCCTCCTGAGTAGCTGGGATTATAAGCGCATACCACCACGCCTGGCTAATTTTTTTGTATTTTAGTACAGACAGGGTTTCACCATGTTGGCCAGGATGGTCTCCATCTCCTGACCTCGTGATCCGACCAGCTCGGTCTCCCAAAGTGCTGGGATTACAGGTGTGAGCCATCACACCCAGTCCATTTTATATTTCCTTTATGTTTTCCACCCTCCCTAGCACAGTGACGGGCTCTTGGCAGTCTGAAGAAGCATGAACCAGAACTAAGCCTGGTCTCTCAGGATTTGGTGGATGTCTAAGTTGCAGGGTTAAGAAGTTGCAGTTCCTTCTTTCAACTCAACCTCTAGCAGTTGGATACAGAAGCAATTGTCGAACCTGGGCACCTAAGGGGACAGGACTGTCAGTGTCCTGGAAATCATGTTCTTCTCTTTGGTTTTCACCACCTCTTAATGGCATATCTTCTATATTTCCTTTAATGCGAACACAGGTAACGAGTTGGTTATAACCCTTTTCTCAGGGCCAGGCTGCCATGCCATCGCTCCTCCAGAGAGCAAACACGAAACATGATCCTATGGCAAGAACATACAATGCCAGGTCCCTGGATTTAGGTCCTGCTCTGTCATTGACTGTATATTCCCATAAAGAAGATTAAAACTCTCCACGCCTTGGTTTCCCTGTTTATACAGGACAAGGGTAGTAACCCCTGGGCTCTGTGCCTTGTTAGTGACTCGCAATGGTAAAGCAGGGGAATGAACTGAAAGCCTTACAGAAATGTAAGGTCTTCCGCGTCATTAGATGCTGTGAGACAATGGAAACCAACTCAAATGCCTGGCGCCCTTAGAGCCGCTGATGGAACTGAACAAACTGCTATTGCTTTACACTCCCAATGGAAGGGTGCTGGCTCTCAGTGTTTGCCCTTACCTCTCCTCCTCTTCTATAAACACAGGACTCCATTCTGAAAATTGTCACAGAATTGTCAATTCCTCTGACCCACAGTGTTAGATGTCCAGTGGAATTGACAGGACATCATACATTTCAATTAGTTCCACTCTCCATTGCTCTGGAGGGTGAGGTGCTACCTCACCTTCACGGGGAAGACCCAATGTTCCAAGGATGTGCAGCGCGGGAGGGCCCCAAACCATTCAGACCATACTCATGTTAAGGCCCATGTAACGGTGGGGTGTGCTCAAGGGCAGAAAATAGCCCTGTGTGCTTTGAAGGCAAGTGTGTGCAAACATACCCAATAACAGACATGTTTTGTGTATGATACTATATTCCCATATTGTCAATTTTTCTTAAATTAGTAAACAATGACTAACAGAAGTGGTAACTGCCTATATTTGAATTTATGCAAACATACATGATTTATTAAACACTTTATCTGGAGAACATAATGGTATAAATGGAGGTTTCCAGGCGACTGGATTTGTGTGTGTGTGTGTGCGCGTCTATAAAGGAAGACTATGTGCTCAATGTGGCCATTCACACAGCCCTAAGGCACACAATTCACACTTCCATGTTAGCATTTGTGAATAAATATCTTAATAATAGAACACGTGATAAAAATTTTGTTACCATACAGACCAAAGAGTTTTCACTAACACCTAACATCACACTCAATAGCAGCCTGATCAATGTGTAAATTTTGCTGTCACTGATGGCCTAAGATCTAAGCTATTGGAATAACATGAAATACACAGTAAGCATTTAATACATATTAGTTGATGATCTTGACATTCAGAACAAGAAATAAGTCTCAAAATAAAGACCGACACACAACCAGAATAGAAAGCAACGTTTTTTTCATTATTCAAATGGCAGAAAAAATGTAACTCATCAAAACTCAGGAAATCAACCCGACCTAAGTATTTAGTTAGCCCCTCACATTTTTAAACCTTTAGTTTTTTTTTTTAAATAAAACATCGCTGAGTAGTAAGTTATACCAACCAGAAAAAGTCACTTGAATTCAGTTCTGATCTTCTTTATAAGATGCTGCGGATAGCTGATCTAACAAGAGAGCTTCATGTGATGCTATTTGCTTTATTAGGTCTTGGACTACACCTTAACTGAAGACGTCTATGTAGGTGACGAAAACTCATGGAAGGACTTGCCACAATTCAAACATGGGCTTTTGGGGTTTCTGAGACCAACAGAACCACCATATACTTTGTGGGTGTAGGGATTCTCCCTGCATGTTGAGCCTGTCACCCTAATGACAACCAGCTTTGCATTAACTAGAGTCAGCCCCAAAAATGCATCTGTTACTCCAGAGAAGGACAAATCCTTATTATTACTTTATAGGATTTTCTCTACTAGGGGCTTCCATAAAGTAAACATGCTTTCAGGAAATTAACAGAGTAATTTTAAGCCAAAATCCATAGCATTAAAAACAAATAAACCCCAAATGATAGCAATGTATTTGGGGGGAAAAAAGCATGTAATCAACTGCCTGCATAATTTAAACTACCAAAGCTTTGAAGCTCCTTAACATCACCATCACCTCCCTTTTAGACACTGTCACCCAGTAGAAGAAATTCACAGCCCTGCTGCTCTAATGAGTATGTTTCAGTAAACACAGAAGAAATCATTTTCACAGCCCCCATGCATTTCTCAGCAAGCACTCAAATCTTTCAAACCCATTCCAGGGGGAAGTTTCCATCCCAATCTTTTCCCTCATATTTCATCTCTAAGAGCACCCCTCCCCCATCTGAGATCCACAAGTTACAAAAATTACTGTTTCAGGTTTCTCATCATTATCTGTTAAAAAACTAAAATTACAGATGAGATAGTATTCTACAGTCCCAGGAACTCCAACTGTTCAGGAAACGTGAGTAACAGAAGTAACGCGGTATACAATGAAAACAAACATCTTCCTGTCTTTGGAGCAACTGAGAAGCAAACAACCCGCCACGTAGCTTACCCTTTCAACGCTGCGCCTTCTCAGAGATCCATAAGGAATTTTCAGTAAAAGTCTTTGGGATCTATTCGGAGCCACTGCAGCCTGAACCACCATGGTGTACAGCTGTGTGTGTGTGTGTGTGTGTGTGTGTGTGTGTGTGTGTGTGTGTGTGTTCCCAGCAAAGGGAGAGAAGGAGCCTCCCTCAAAAATAAGTTATGGTCTCCTGGAGGGTTCCCAAATATCAAATAACTGAAAGAGTTTTTCTTTCGACCATCTGAGTCAAGATGTGGTTTGTCAGGAGGAGGGGGGATGGGAAGAAAGAAAACCAGCCCAAGTTCTGCAACTTCAGCGCCCACGAAGCAGCATCTCTAGCTTTCTTCCATCTGTCCCTCTGCACAGCTGGCTCAGCGAGACTGCCGTGTCCCGCTTGTGGGCAAGTGACGCGTCTGGGGAGAGTGATCCAGAAATGTCAACTTTGCTTCTCGTGGCTGCAGATGGTAATCAGGTCAGTTGTCTAATCAAAGCTCTATCAGACGTATTATTCATTCCATCACGTGACTCCCAAGCCCCTCGGCCGTACAGTAGGTCACATGCTCACCTTAAAAAGACTATTTGGAATATCACCATCTGGAGTGGAGATTAATGCAGAATCCTACACTCTGATTTCACTCCCTTCTGAACGGAGGAACAATATCTGAAGACCACAGACAGAACACATCAGGGACCTCTTTGAAATCATAAATTCTATCTATAAAACTGAGCATCAGACATGCGTATCTGTTTACCCTTCCTGCTTTCTAACGCATAAAAATAAACGCACGGGTATTACTCACTGTATATGTGAATACAGTCCACAGAGAGAAAGTATGAGGGAAAGAAGAAGAAACTGTTGCAATCACATGGTTCAGATGAATCAAATCAAATCGAACAGGCTTGTGTTTGGCACCTTCTCATTTAAATGTTTGTGTTATAGAACATTTATTTTTACGTGTGCCAGTAAACAAGAAGAAATTATGTTTCGTTTTACACGGCTGTGTCGAAGCAGATTCATCCATCACGTCTGTCAATTATTTTCTGATCATATTGTGTAATTTCAGATCACACAGCCTTCTTTGATGGATGGCATAAATGGTCTCAAACGTTAACTTTTCTGTAATATTTTCCCCTACCTTCCCCATCTCTACTCCTCCTGAAATCGGCTTATTTCCATAGCAGAAAAAATTACTACAAAGAAAATCAAGTAAGGTGCTTCCAGGATATGGGGTATGTTTGGGTTTTTTTTTTCTTTTTCTTTTTAAAGCATTTCTACATACACTGCTTCTGTCTGTTCTGAGTTTTATGAAAGGGATGGCCATTTCCTTTGTAATCATCCCGTGGTTTTTGGTATTAGCCTTGATACCACTCATACGCTCTGGGCACCAGCTTTGAGACACTGTCTGCAGACCAGTGTGCTTACTTCATTGAAAATGACGGAAATGAAGGTTCTGTTTATTCAAACACACCTAATAGGAAATGGGGGTGGGGTGCGAAGGAAAGAAGCAGAGTTTTGTACTATGAGAAAATGAATCAGAAGAAAGAGGCGAAGGGTGCCACGGCGGCGGCAGCAGCGCACGGGCTGGAAACCTGGGTTCAGCCCTCCAGCGCAGACACACATCACGAGTCAGTTAAAGAAAGCATCAGGTTGATGTGGGAAATTCCAAATATACAACAATTGGGCTTTGTTCGTAATTGGTTCCATGTGTGCAGTAGGAGAGTCAGTGAGAGGGTGAGAGAGACGGGGAGACGGAAACCTCTTAACCACGGCTCACACGGCGTCTTTGGTGAGGTGGTTTAGGTTTACATCTCTTTTTTCTCTCTTTCTTGCTTCTTGCCTGCACTGCCTGGTTTCAGAGCATTGGCGGGGGGTGGGAAAAAATCTGGAACGATACCCGATGATTGAGCCAAAGCAAGAGAAACTCATTTCTTTGTAAAACTGCACTTGACGTTGTAACGGTTTTGAACAAAGGATAGGCACACTTTCAGAACACTTTATCTGTTGAGAGTCACGGCATGTCATTCTTCCAGCTCAGTTTTGGGGTCGGTGGGGGGGACAATGATGAGATGGACTGAGAAGCCACTGTCCTCTTCTCTGACCCAGGCCAGGGCAAAGCCCCGGGGAGCTGAATTTATTTACATTTGACTAAATGCAACTTCCTGTTTCCCAGGGGTATTAATGAGTGTTTCACTGTGGAGCTTAGGCTTATGGCATAGTTCAGATCATAAGGGACATTTTGATGAACTAAGTGCAAATAAAACAAAAACACATGCATTTGATTAAGGTTAAAATACATATAGAAGAGAATGTTAATGGTAACAAAAATAACCCTGGGCCAGACTCCCACACATCTGAGTCTCACACATTCCACATCCTTCCCTTGGGAGGCGGGGAGAAGGATCACTTTTCATATTAGCACAAAAGCCTCCTCCCAGATAATGGAGCCCTCCCCAGTCCCCGCGGAGTAGGTGACCCCCTCCTTGGAGTGATTTCAAGGCTCTCAAAGGTTGCTGGTCCAAAAATATCTTTCTGATTGTCTTGCCATGGGTGTCGGAGACTTACATATTCAAAATTAATTGTCGAGTTTAGGTCTTTTTTTTTTTTTTTTTTTTTTTTAAATAGAGACAGGGTCTCACTATATTGCTCAGGGTGGTCTTGAACTCCTGGGCTCAAGCAATCTCCTCGCTTCGGCCCCCCAAAGTGCTAGGATTACAGGCATGAGCCACCATGCCTGGCCAAGTATTTCTTTCCATTGTTAGAATACAAATATGTTTCCCCGGAAGGGATATGCATTCATACTCTCACAGTTATGACCACTTTAGGAGAAGCAAGGGGAATGAATGTTCACTGAGCACCTACCCATTGGCAGGCCATGTGCTGTGAGGTTATCAAAGGCTACTTCCATGGAGGAAATGCGTTTCATTATCCCTGTTTCAGTGGTGAAGAAACTGGTGCTCAGAGGGGCTTAGTAAGTTGGCCAAGGCAGCACAGCTAGAAATGTCAGAGCTAGGATGAAAACCAAAGTCAACTGGTGTGATTTCAGGGCCCAGCTTGCCTGTCCTACAGGACTTTATCAGATTACAGCAGTTTGGAAATCCCAAAGGAAGATACATCCATTGAACCCAACAGGAAAATGGAAAACTCTGTCTTTGAAAAGAAGAGAATGTCAATATAGGAAATTGTTAGATTGAGCAATTTTAGAGTTTCTGGAGCTGCTGCTTTGATGTCACCAGGAGTTGGGCACAGGGGACGGAGGGGCTAAGAACCACAAAGGGGGAGGCAGGGAGGCTGGCCTAAGGGGTCAAGGGAGGAGCCGAGTTATTAGAGCCAGGGGCCAGGTCACCTAGTGGAGTCTAGAACCTTGGAGACCCATCCAGTGGGAGACTCAGCCGCTGCTGAAGCCTTCATCCATGGTCAAGGGGAGGTGAGGAGAAATGCCTGGCCCTTCTTTCCATCTGCCTTCCAATCTCCTGGCAGCATCTTCCAGCCAGTTGAAAGGGAACTGTGGAAATAGCCATATAGGCAGGGCAGGGAAAGGGAGAGCCATAGATCTGAGTATATGTGGCTCTGGGCCAGCCCTGAGGGACCGAGACATTGGACCAAAGGAATGGGAAATGGTGAATTAAGGGTGAACTGAAAAGAACAGCAAGAGAAGGCGGGACACGGTGGCTCATGCCTGTAATCCCAGCACTTTGGGACTCAGAGGTAGGTGGATCACCTGAGGTCAGGAGTTCAAGACCAGCCTGGCCAACATAGTGAAACCCCGTCTCTACTAAGAACACAAACATTAGCTGGGCATGGTGGTGGGCACCTGTCATCCCAGCTACTTGGGAGGCTGAGGCAGGAGGATGGCTTGAACCTGGGAGGTGGAGGTTGTAGCGAGCTGAGATTGCACCACTGCACTCCAGCCTGGGAGGCAGACAGCATGAGACTCTGTCTCAAAGGAAAAAAAAAAAAAAAGAACAGCAAGAGGAAAACCTATGGAACAATATTACATAGAAAGAGCAGGTTGTTGTCAGGATAGTGGATGACACGGTACCCTCAGCATCCAGGAATGGCCTAATGGCTGCTGGATGTGGGGTGGGAGTTGAGGGGGGAAAGATGCCTCAGGGATGGGGGGCAGTCAACAAACTGTGTGCAGGAGAGGGAGATGTAGAAGACACTCTTCAGTTCTAGACTCTCCGAAGCTGCTGCTTTTGATGCCTCAGGGAGCAGCACACTTAAGGCTGGCAAAGCCTTTTGTTTGTTTGCTTTGAACATTTCCTTCCAGTCTCAATGAAAATGTTTGCATTAAAACCCTGGAAGGAAAATGCATAGGAATCCATTGAGCCAGGTTTCAGGAAAGTCAATGGTCTTGACATGCCACAGCAAGATGTATCAAAGCAAATGGGTGTTCTTGGTCACGAACAGCAGGGTGTGAAAGGGGTGGCGGGAATGGGGGGAATGTTCCATTGGAGAGAGAACATTTTGCAGTGTTGGTGATAATGGAGGCAGCAGCAGGAGGGGGAAGAGTCTGCCGAGCCAACGTGTATGCACGGTCACAGGAGCAGACTCATAGATGAAGCCAGTGCCCGCGCGGATGCATGCTGAAAAGCCACGTGAAGGGTAAATGATCTCCTGATGGAATCCTGGGTGCTGGCACGGACATGCAGCCTGGTCATTGCAGCCCAGGGTGATCCTGATGAGCCGGCCTCAACTATTTGTCCAATCTTTTGCCCAGTGCCTGAAATTACCACTAGTGAGGCTGGCCTGTCTGTCCCCTGGAAGTCCACTCACATGTGCATCTGACCTCAGAACTGCCACTTGCTGGCACTAAATAAACTCATTTTCATTGCTTTATTTTGTTCATTTGGCAGAATACTGAAAGGACAGGCCACAGGACAGACAGGTTTCAGCTGGGGACGTGACTGAGGTCACACTGTATAATAGATGCTGTCGTGACACTCCCAGGGCAGAAGGCAGGCTGAGGCCACCATGAGCCCCAGCAGAAGGGGCAAAGGATGGTGAGCTGGAGAAAGAGATGGGAAGGTGACCTAAGGGGCCTTTCTGATTTTGTTCCTTATCATTCTTTCCTTTGCAAAAAAGGCGAAATACCACTTACATGAAGGAAACAGAAACAATCCAAGGCTGACATTGTAAATATCTGTCCTAACCTCCATCTTGAGCCATACTTCCTTGTAACATCTTGCAGGGTATTAAAAGCGGGCTCTTTCTCAGTGTCGTTTGAGGGCTCCAGGCAATAGATGGCAACTATTCCCACCCTCTCCCACACGCCACTCAAGGAGTTAGGCCTCTAAGCAGGACATGCACAAGGGGTGTCTGAGAAGCAGGTTTGAAATCCCTCAATGACCTCACCTCCAGGCTGTAGGAGGAGGGAGAGGGAAACAAAAGAGGGGTGTGGGGCTCAGGGAAAGAGAGGTGCCTGAAATGGCTTATTGGAAGAGAGACATCTCTTGGACCAGGGAATTGCAGAGATAAATCCCCAGAGATCCCCAGCAAAAAACCCACAAGGCACCCTGCAAGGACAAGAGGTGGGCTTAAACACCCATTAGTCCCAGAGAAAACCATGGCCAGCCCAGCCAGGCAGGGTGACTCATGCCTGTAATCCCAGCACTTTGGGAGGCTGAGGCAGGTGGATCCCCTGAGGTCGGGAGTTCAAGACGAGCCTGACCAACATGGAGAAACCCCGTCTCTACCAAAAATACAAAATTAGCCAGGTGTGGTGGTGCATCCCTGTAATCCCAGTTACTCGGGAGGCTGAGGCAGGAGAATCACTTGAGCCTGGGAGGCGGAGGTTGCAGTGAGCCGAGATTGTGCCATTGCACTCCAGCCTGGGCAACAAGAGAGAAACTCCATTTCAAAACAAAAACAAACAAACAAAAAACCCAAAGTCCAAGGCCAGCCCATGACAGCTCAGGCATGAAAGCTCCCTGCTAGGCCCTGGCCTCTGGTCCACTTCAGCCCTGGACGGGTGAAGACAGCGCAGTGAGTATCGGGGAGGTGGGTGGGGATGCAGGGGAAGGATTTGGAGGTGGAGACACACACCCATGGTTCCCACTGCAGCCATCACCCGAACCTGCCCCCAGCTGGGGGATGGGAGAAACCGTCGCTTTGATGGAAGTTGGTGTTGTAATTATTGTCATGTGAAGAAGAGAAGAGGAGCAATAGGATGAAATTGAACCAAAACACACGCAAGAAGAAAACATATTCTTCCTAATACCCTGACTCGATTATTACACATTCTATGCATGTAACAAAATATCACACGCCCCCCATTAATATGTACGTGTATTATATATCAATACAAAAATGAAAAATAGCTGAATCTTCAAAAAGTACATTCTTAAAAGACTTGGAAAATTCCTAGAGCAGGAGGGGGGAGTTTGGAAGGGAAACCCTGTGTTTCTTCAACATTCCATCTCCATCCCATTACCTCCCCACCCAGCTATAGCCTAGGTAATTCATGTCACGTCTCATTAGAGGAAGCTGGGACTGAGGTTAGACAAACAGAAAGGCTGCCTACATCCATAATTTTCTGTTTGAAAACTGGCTGGAATTTAGGCCAAACATGAAACCCAATATCCGTAAGAACAGGACCAAGACATCAAGCAACACTCCTATCACCAGACCTCACATGCCCAGGGGCTGCGAGATTATCTCCAGCTCACCAGTGTGGGAAAGCTTTCTCTTGGTTTTACCTACGGTTTGCTCTGACACAGTGCGCTGTTTGCAGTATCTGTCTTTGGACAGACTTTTCCTCCTCCTGTGCCATTTGGAAGACTCTAGGCAGAATTGTAGCTAGCTAGGGTGGGCAGATACATTTTTCCCTCCCTCCCTCCCTTCCTTCCTTTCCTTACTTCTTCCTTTCTTCTTCCTTCTTTCCTTCCTTCCTTCCCTCCCTCCCTTCCTTTCATCCTTTCTTATCTCCTTCCTTCCTCCCTCCCTCCCTTCCTTCCTTCCTCCCTCCCTTCCTTTCTTCCTTCCTTTTCTTCTGTCCTTCCTTCTCTCTCTCTCTTTCCCTCCCTCCCACCCTTCCTTTCATCCTTTCTTCTCTTCCCTTTCTCCTTCCTTCCTTCCTTTCTTCTTTCCTTCCTTTTCTTCTGTCCCTCCCTCCCTCCCACCCTTCCTTTAATCTTTTCTTCCCTTCCCTTTCTCCTTCCTTCCCTCCCTCCCTCCCTCCCTTCCTTCCTTTCCTTCCTTTCTTCCTTCCTTCCCTCCCTCCCTTCCTTTCATCCTTTCTTCCCTTCCTCTTCTCTCCTTGCTTCCTCTCTTTCTTCCCTTCCCTTTTCTCCTTCCTTCCTTCCTTTTTCTCTTCCCCTCCCCTCGCCTCCCCTCCTTCCCCTTCCCTTCCTTGACTCTCTCTTCCTTCCCTTGCCTTGCTGGACTGCAGTCTAGGCTTCATTTAATACTTGTCCTCCATGAGCAGACAGGCAAATGAGATAAAGGATGTTTAGACTGAATTGTGCAGTTTGACTCCTGCTTATCCTTGCTGTGGGAGAGGGTGTGGTGTTCTAGGATAAGTGGTCAACTCCTCGCTTCTGCCATGACACTGCCCATGCTCTTCTTGTATTCTGTACCAAGCTCCATGATACTGGCTTCATCCTTGTCTAAATGAATTGTATTATTTTCATTTATTGCTTATGTTACATCATTCATTCAACCATTATTTTATTGAGTGTCTAATAAAATAAGGCAATTCTCTTATACGGCATATTCTATTACAGGCACTATTCTAAAGTTTTAAAATATATAATTTAGTTAGTTCTCATGACACTTTATCAAATAGGTACTCTTATTTTCCCTGGATGAAGACAAAAGGACTGAGGTACAGAGACTGAAGTAACTCACTCAGGGTCACAATGAGAGGCTCCAGTGTCCATTGACCGCCTCCCTCTTCTGTGTCACTACAACGGATCAAGTGCTGAGCCAAGAACTGGGGATGCAAGATAACTTTTGCTTATTGGAAGAGTTTTCTTTTGTTCCTCAAACTCAGCTCCTCTCTGTGATGAGGCGTCTGTGGTGAAGTGAAAGACTGCTGGCCTTAGCCCTGAGTCTGCATGTGAAAATGTCATCACAAGGGGAAGTAGACCTGGCCCTCTTCCAGGGCAGGGAGGAAAACGCAGCCTGTGCTGCATGGGAACTTCACGTGCTAATTGGACATCCCAGAATCTCACTAAATCTTTATCATAGCAAGCATCAATCACTCAATCTTCATCATAGCGAGCATCAGTCATAGAGAATGTCAAGTCTGCTGAACACCTACCCAACAGGATGAAACAATGTTTGTGAAAGTTCTTTGTAAACAAGACGTGTGCACCTTCCCTTTTCTTCCAGTCTCAATTCTGCACACGGTTTTCCTGTTGTCTCATTTGCCACAACAGCCTCCTGCACTTCACCGTCTAGCCATCTGCCTCTTCCTGTCTGTTCTGCTATAAGGTCCACGTTTCATCTGCCTGAATTCCTTAAAGGCCATCCGGCTTAGCCACCTATTTTGAGTGGTAAACAGACTTCTTCTTGAACCTTTGAGAGCTCCCTGTTTAGTAGATTTCATTTGAGTAACTATGAGTACAGAATTAATTCACCCAGGTTAAGACCCCCTATCCCCATCAAATGAAAATCACACATGACAAAGGAAGCTAGACCTTATCCTCTTGCAGGGCAGGGAGGAAAATGCACCATCTGCTGCATGGAAACCTCATGTGAAAATCAGGTGTCCCAGGATCTCACTCGATCTTTCTGGCAAGGATCTAGCCATAGAGAATGTCAAATATGAATGACCCATGTGGAAGATTTGTCGGTATCTGTGTCAGAAGGCCTTGCCTTATGGACATCAAGGACAAGGCCCATCAGCATCCTTGCAGGCTGTTCAGCTCGTCATCCACAGACAGAGATCTTGCTCACAAGCTGCAGATGGATTTTATGCCTCCACACGAAGGTCCTTCACATCTGGTCTTGATATGATTTGTCCCCAAAAGAACTCCACTTGCCCTTCCCAGCATGAGGCCAAATCAGGTCATCAGTGGCTATAGCCTGGCTAAAGGCTATTCTACATGGTAGTAATGGCTTATTGTGTGTGCTATTAGGAGTGATGTCATGCCCAGGGTTTGAGGAATAACGCTCCTGCAAGATGGCCATGTGATTAAACGGGTAATAAGCTGACCTCTGTGAAGCTGGCTGTGTAGATTGGCTTTCAAGATCATTTTGCAAAGCCCGTTTTCATGTGCTGTCAGTCGTGGATGGATTTTGATAACTAGCATTGATTTGCCATGTTTATGAAGTGCAGTTTCACAGGGTAAACTGTGTAATTGCACCTGGAATGGCAATATAAATAACGTCCTTATCTATGGTATTGACTGCCCAGGATTCGCTGAATATATATAGCATACCTCCAAACAGAGCCAATAGCTGTTGACTCAATTTTTACTAGGCTTAGCTCTCAAATTTCAGGTGTCTTAATAAGGATTGGGTGGCGAATGATCAACTTTTACATCTGTTTCTAATTTCCATGCTTCCTTTTCCAGGAGGAGAAATTTAACAAGCAATTTTCTTCAACAGGGGAATAGTTCATCTTGGTTCAAGTAATCCCTCTGGTGCTGCAAAGGACAATGGCTTTCTTTAGGGCCATCAGATTCCTTTCGCTCCTGTGCCCAGGGACATATCACTCCCAGGGTCAACTGTCCATTTGCTCATGGACATCTGGGATGAGTCACGTGGTATATTTTCCCAAAGTGAGGAAGGAAGAAAAGAAAGCATCTTGAATCTGTTAGAAAGACAGTCTCTTTGAAGCCTCATGTCATGGGAATATGGTTTATGTTGAATGTGTTCTAGAGTATACCCAACATCCTGTAAATCAAAACACCAAAGTGCAAGCTGTGACCAGAATGGGTAAAACACCTCCAGTGGACAAATCCTTAGAGGTAGATGAGGATGAGTAGGGGATTCTAACTGCTCTTGCTTGCTGGGGGTACTCCATTCTAAGAATTTTAAACCTCTATGGCACGAATGCAGTTAATAGACTGTTGACATGAAAATTACATGAGATAGCACAGTTCTGTCTGTGAGAACAAGGGTGGTAAGAAATGACATTAAGGCAGCTGGGTGCAGTGGCTCACATCTGTAATCCCAGCACTTTGGAAGGCCGAGGCAGGCAGATCAGAAGGTCAGAAGATCATAGACCATCCTGGCTAACATGGTGAAACCCCGTCTCTACTAAAAATACAAAAAAAAAAAAAAATTAGCCGGGCATGGTGGCAGGCGTCTGTAGTCCCAGCTACTCAGGAGGCTGAGGCAGGAGAATGGTGTGAACCCGGGAGGCAGAGGTTGCAGTGAGCCGAGGTCGTGCCACTGCACTCCAGCCTGGGCGACAATGCAAGACTCCATCTCAAAAAAAAAAAAAAAAAAAAAAAAATGACATTAAGGCAAGATTCTGACTTGCATACTATAGAACAATATATTTTAGATCTCATTCCATGAGCAAGGGGGAGCCATTTTAAGTTACTTTTAGGGAGGAAGTGACACCATCCAATCTGAGTTTTGGGGACTTGATTGATAAAAGATGAATGGTAGAATGAAGAACCAAGGTATATTGGAGGCCAAGAGAGCAGGTACAAGATTATTGCAATTGTCCAAATGAGAAATGATTAAGTGCAGAACTAGGACATTGTTCTTTTACAATTTCTATTCTGACAGACTACAGGAAGGATGGTCCTATTAGTCAAAATAAATGCACAGGAAGAGGGGAAGATTTGGGGAGATGATAATGAGTAGCTCGGGGCATGCAGAGCTTCTGATGCCTGAACATTTTGACCTGGAACTTAGGAGAAGAGTCAAGCCTGTAAATGCAGCTCTGGATTTCAACAAGAGAATACCGATCACTAGATAAGTTATTAGTTAAGTGTGAGGGCAGACATTCAATAACACGCACATTTACTTCTCATGCACCTTTACTGGAAGATGTCTCCAGCAGAAGAATGTTAGAAGGGAATATGAATTCCAGGAAAAGGATTGATCACAGGAGAGGTACCAAGGGAGTTCCCAGAATAATAGAAAAGAGGATCCTCAAGAAGACAGTCACGCAAGAGACCAAGAGAAGAGCTAATCCAATTGATGCAGGAGGAAGTAGAGCTTCAGAAAGAATGTCTCAAAAAAGAAAAAAAAAGAAAGGAGTGGGTTAAGTATCTGATGAATTTACCAAATTGAGAGGAGTTACATAGCTCTATTGAAAATCTTAGATAAAAATGATTGATAAATACATAGAACATAAAGCAAACACTGAAATAAGGCAATTATCAACTCCAGGAAAAACATAAAGTTGTAAAATCCAAGACATGCCATCATAATGTATAACATTTCTCAGATGTAAATAATATTTTAATATTCATAATAAAACTGAATTTTGATTTAAGCTGTGATGCCAATATATTCAGTAGACAGAGGGGGAAGAGACACATGTGTTTATAGGGAAAGAGACTCATAAGTTGGCAGGAAAGGACTGGAGCCTGGGTTTTTCTTTCTAAGCCTTCTAGTACTCTTCAGCTTTCAAATGTTATGAATATTGCCATGTACACATATTATTTTGATAAAAATAAAAATTAAATTATAAACAGAAGGATCAATATAAACAGGGGATTTGAGCCAGATCAGATGGACAGTGATGGGGCTGATGCCTTTGAGAACGTGCCCATGCAATGTCAGTAGCAGAAGTAGGGCTGTGGAGGGTGACCTAGAACCACAGGCCTCTTTCTGAAAGGACAGATTTGAGTCTGATACTGGGTTATTTAATCCAATGAGAAATGTTTCAGGAAACCTGCTTGATTTCCTCTGTTTCTTTTTTTCCTTTGGGGTGCGTTGTGGGGCTCCTCATCTATGGACCTGCTGTTGGAATGGCTGCTGAATGCATAGCCTCCAAGGTATGCCTCGGAGAGAAGCATTTTAAATCTTCTGAAACGAGATGCAGACAGACAAAACGAAACAGGACAAAGACGTCACTGAGGGCACTGCCAACACTTCTGGAGCTTGTCCTGAAGAGCCATTCGTGTGCTTGGACTGATCTCCCGTCTTGTGCTCTTGGCATTGGTGCAGGATCCTGCATGTACATTTGCAGGTGCGAGCTTGTGCACGCGAACATGTGTGCTGCTTCCTCTCACGAACCCAGCAGCATAGCAGCAGCCAGAGACGCCCCAGAGTGATGACAACTAATTATGAAACACCAGTCTGATCTGTCCCTTTTATCTCATCTTGCAGAAGCCTTGCATTCCCCCAAAGCCCCCCAGTGGCCCTTTGTAATCCCAGAAAAGAAGTGTCAATATGGAAACAGCTGTTCTTGAGATAGTGGGATGACAGCCTAATGAGCATGCCATCAGCTATAGAGGAAACCCAAGGCTAATGGGCTTCTGATGCAAATATTCTTTCTAGACCATCCCACTCATATGAGAAAGGCTACAGTCCCCAGCAAGACTGGGAGAGGACACACTGGCCTATAGATGTCAAGTCTTCTTTTGTTCTTATTTAGGTTTTTAGCCTCTCAAACCCCATGGGGCATCAGGCAATCTCCCTGACTCCTCTGGAAGGTGACTGGAAAAAAGGCAGCCCCAATTTTTTTTTTTGTTTTGTTTAGAGGCCATGCTAGGGAAGCCAGCAGGAGCACAGGGCTCCTGCAATTTTGGTAGCAGGAGAAACAGCCACAGGTTGCTGTGGTTCAGGCAGGGAGTGAAGGCTGTGCTTAGAAAGAACCCAAATTCCCAATCATTCAAGGGGGAAAGGTTAGGGAGAAATAGTGGGAGAGAGCTGTAGAGGTGGAGGAAAGGGGGATGATGGATTGCAGCAGGCGACTTAAAACAGATGCCTTTTCTAGGGGCAAGGCAAGGGATGAAGAGAACTGACCTACCATGTGCCTCCTTGGCATCAGACACACCCCTGGACACTTGCTCTATGTCACCTCTTCTGAATCTTCACCATGATCCTGTAAGCCGGGTAGCATTAGCTGCACTGTATTGATAAGGAAACTGAAGCTCACAAAGACGAAATGCTTGCCAACAATCTCACATCTAGGAAGTGGTACCAAGCTGGGATTGAGACTTGAGCCCATGAGACTTTAAAGCTCCCTCTCAATTTTCTTTGGGGATGTGTATATAGGTGGGGAAGCTATACAGAAAATAAAAAAAATCTTTATATAAAAGCTGGGGGGTCCAGACATGGTGGCTCACACCTGTAATAATCCTAGCACTTTCGGGGCTGAAGCAAAATGTTTGCTTGAACCCAGACATTCAAGACAAGCCTGGGCAATATAACAAGACCTCATCTCCACAAAAATAAAAAAAAAAAATAATAAAAAAAACAGCTGGGCATGGTGGCTTATACCTGTAGTCCCACCTACTTGGGAGGCTGAGGTGGGAGGATTGTTTGAGCCCAGGAGGTCGAGGCTGCAGTGAGCCAACATCATGTCACCACACTCCAGCCTGGGGGATAGAGGGAGACCCTGACTCAAATAAATACATAAATACAATAAAATAAAAATAAATAAATAAAAACTGGGGGAGGGTTCTGTTTCCCTCTGGGGGAGGGAGAGAATTTTAATCTAGAGGGGATACTCAGAGACTCCTGGAGTCCTCACTCACAATATTTCATTTTTAATCTGGGTGGTGGTTACACAGGGTGTTCATGTTGTAAATAATCCTTTAGACTATCCATACATGTTTTATGGACTTTTGTGCACCTCACCGATATCTTACAATAACAAATTACAAACAAAAAAGAGTCCCTATTATTTTTGCATCCAGTGATTTCTTCAGTATATCACCAGAACGGCATCTGAAATGACTGTGTCAGACACCAGAGTACAACCTGGTAAGAAATGCATGCAATCATGAGATTTCTGCGTTTTTTTTTGCATTTTATTGCTCCCAGCAAAAGTTAAATTTTACAATAACAGTAAAAATATACTAGTTAAAACTCAAGCGATTGATATGTATCTATTGAGGTCCTTGTATACAATATTCTAGGTGCCATGGAGGTTACAAAGGTGTCCTTGCCTTTTGGATCTCAGGATCACCTTGAGGAGGAGGCAAGACAGAGACACAGAATGAGAGAATTAACTAAGTGAGGTCAACAAATAATGAGTGGTACAGAGAGGAAGTGCGACAGAAATCCACGTGTCTAAGCTTCGCAGAGGGGAGAGAATTTCATTGAGGCTTGAAGGATGTATGAACTTCAGACAGGTCAAGAGGAAGCAGAATTACAAGCACAAAGACATAGTAATGAGAAGAGGCTCGCTGTCTTGCAGAGACTAATGTTGACCAGTTTGGAGTGGGGAACTCACAATGGGAAATTATAAGAGATAGGCTTAAAAGAGAACTTGACCTCCAAAACCTTGTGTGATCTGGCCCAAACTTTGTCTAGCTGCCTGAATTTGTTGGAATCACATGATTTAATATAAACATTGCATAATGTTAAATGTGATTTAAATGCTTCTCAAGGGAGAAGCAGGGGCACAAATGTTGCTACAGAGGGCAGGCAAATGCTATGTAAATAAGGGGTAAAAATTGAGTGTGGGGAGGTTGGGCTAGAGATGATAATGGATGGAAGAACTGGAGAAGTGCTGGCTGTGGGAGGATGAGAAGGTGAGTTCAAGTGATAAGTCAAAGATGCACACTGGGGCTATGAAAAGATGGGTTGTATTTAGAGAAAAGGATGGAGTGTCTGACCCCATTCTCTTTCAAGGTGGAGTGCATCTTGGAGCTGGGAAAGGAGACGAAGGTGGTAGAAGTGTTAGGAGAGGAGCCTGCGGGTAGGGGAAGTTAAGGAGAGAATGGGAAATGTATTAATGACTTTGTGGTATTGAAATAAAACAGTTCCCTGATTAATTCGTTTCCTCCAATACGACCAAACTCACACCAACACTTTGGCATGCCACAGATCACCCCCAAGAGTGACTCCACAGCCATCAGCCACCATCCCCACCATCCCAGGCAGTGGCAGCCAGGCAGAGGAAGTGGTCCAAGAAACCTCCCTGTCTGCAGTTCAGTTTCTACTCATACTTCTCATAAAGTCATGACCCTGGCCATGAATCTCCCATCCCTGGAAACCCAGAAGGACGCTCTCCCTTCTGGACGCATTCCTCCTCCAGGCATAACTTCCAACACGAAGGTCAGAATGAATGCGAGTCGCCCAGAGCCCCACACCCAGCCCTGGGAAGGGCGATTCCCTCTGGGAATTCTGCCAGCACAATGTTGCCTCAATTTGAAGACAAATTTTAAATTAATAAAGAAAAAAAAAAGCCTCAGACTCTCACGTCTGCCAAAACACACCATTCCCTGAAAGGTTCCTGAAAAGGACTCAGTGATGTACTATAAAGAAAGCGCCAACCTTCCATAGCCTTCTCCAGCTGCGAGACGCAGACTGGCGGGTCCTGGAAAGGTAACAGCTCACAGCCGCCTTCCCGGGGGCAGCGCAGTGTTGTTCTTGGATCGAGAAGACCTTTCAGCTGCCTTACCACCTGTGTATTTCACAGTCTTGCAGTTCCCTAAACCCCTATGAACAACACAGAACGAACAGACCCGTGGCCAACAGAAAACCCTGAGAAAAGTACTGGAAGAAAGAGTGTGGTTGGTTTAAGATAGAAATGATGTGAAGGTTGCAGTGCGTGCCCTGCAGTTTTCAAAGCCTGCATCGCTAAAATCATCACAGGAATAGAAGTGTCCTTGTCAGCTGCTCTTTTCTTTAGCAGAGAATCTCTCAAACAGCCTCAGGCCACAAAATCACTTCCTGAGGAACTCTTGGTAACTGAATGCCTCTCCAAGTAGCAGGGACCCACACACTGGAATTCTGGGGACAGTGAAGTTCATGCTTCTATCCTAGATTCAGCATCCTCTAAAAAAAAAATTAGCATTTTGAGCACCCTCCCCACTTTTTTTTCTGGGATGGTCACTTCATAAACAAACAAATGTGGTTCATTCAGGGAATAGCTACTGAAGCTGCTTTGATCTCTTCTGGCAAATGGTTTCTATTTCTTCACCCTATTCATTCAGATTTCTGCAAGTGACTTGATTCTAAACCCACATCTCTACTATTTAATCTGCATGGACTATTCTGTGCCACTCAGGCACTGAGGAACTTTACGGTTTTCTCCCCTGACCGCACATGAGTAAGAATAAATCATGTGGACTTGGGAACTGCACAGTTGCAGATCAGAATGAGATTCCGTAATGGGGACAGGGTCCCAAGGACTTTCGGAGTGGCAGGGGAGACTCTCTTGCGCCTGGAATAGGAAAAGCCTTTACTTACAAACACATCCATGAGCAGGTGCTCCAGTGTCAGCTCAAAGTCTTCCAGCTTGGCAGCCAAAGTCATGATGAATGTCCCGATTTGCTCTCAGTCCCCGCTGACAGATCAGATCTGCAAACTCCCCAGCTCAGGAAACACCGTCGGCGTCAAATTTGATCACAAGGCAGGGTTGCCACTAATGGGAAGTAGAAACCCTTAAAAGAAAGCAGAACATCGCAGGCTGGACTGCTCGAGCTGTGTAGCCAGAAACTGTACAAGGATATTTTGAAAAAACAAACACCAAACTCTAATAATGGTGCTATGGGATCAGAATGGGCATAAAGCGAGGCCACCAGATGAAGACTGCAGCCACTGCCTTCCCTGTGTAACTTCACAGTCCGAGGTGCTGGCCAAGCGCAGAGAACCTCACCAGTGAGTGAAAGAGAGAAGTGAGATGGGGTGAAAGCAAGAGTGGGGAAAATGGAATAGACTGTCTGACTCTGATATTTATAGGGCCACATGTTTTTGACTCTAGCCCATTTCTCAGTTGATTTCTGACCTTTCATAAATGGCTAAACACACTGGAGTGTATTGTCGAACGGGGGCAGTGGGTCCCACAGAAGTTGGCTGTGACCAATGCTAGGGCAATTCACACAGACACACCATCAATAGTTCTTTGTAGAGAACGTATCAGACCTTGTTTTGTACACGATGACTGAAAAGCACATAGTCTTGTGAAAAACAAGGAAACGAAAGTTGTGAGGGTACTAAATTTTTCCTCAGAATATTATTAGATCCCTCACACTGTCTTTCTTCTCCATCCTATGCACCCCCTCTGCTGCAAGAGTAGATAAACATCAAGGAAAAAATTTAATATCTCGTGTCAATTCCTCAAGCTTCTGCCAGTTACAGAATATCCACGAAATCTTGCAAATGCAGTTTCTCCTTTTCTGCTTCCAAAGTTTGCTTTTTTTTTTTAACTTAAAAATGTTTGGAAATTGTGGTAAAATATACCTCACATAAATTTTGCCATCTTAACTATTTTTAAGTGTACTGTTCCGTAGTGTTAAGTACATTCACCTTGTACTTGGTTCACATTGTACTGGAATAAACAAGATAGACTTGTTTATTTCATCAATGCTCTTCCTGGGATGGACAAGGGATCAGACTGTGGATAACAGCTAGTGTTTCTTATTTAAGGCAGTCTGCTAGTCTCAACAATGACATCACATGATTATTGTCTAAGAAAAATTTTGGGGCCTTAAGGATAGTCACTATTACACCACCATCCATCTCCAGAACTCTTCTCATTTTGCAAAACGGAAACACTGTGACCATTAAACAATAACTCCATTTCTCCCCTCCCACAGCTGCCTGGCCATCATCATTCTACTTAGTGTCTCTATCAATTTGACCACTCTAGGGACCTCGTATAAGTGAGATCATATAGTGTTTGTCCTTTGGTGACTGGCTTATTTCACTTAGTGTAATGTCCTCAAGGTTCACCCACGGGGTAGCCTGTGTCGGACTTTCTTCCCTTTTTAAGGCTGAAATCACGTATCCTAAGAAAGATACTGCTTTGGACAGTTTTTCAGGCCTGAGAAAATCTCTCAGGGACACGTGGCTGTCAAGACGCTAATGGCCATCCTTGCTGTGACTGTAGTAACAAAATCAGCCTTCGTCTAGCAAGCCAGTGCCCAGTTCTGTCCTCTTAGTTCCCTAAACACTTTCTGTTAAACTCTGGTCTCCTGATTCCAAACAGAGTGTGACCACTTAACAGCCAACATTGATGTCAAAGAAGGTGGGCCTCATGAGATCGAGAGGGAAATATAAATATAACATTTCTGCTTTACAGTAAAACTCCCCTCCCTGCATATCAGAGCTCTCTCGGGTATGAACGGTTAAAACTCTCCATTTTAGTATCTCTCTGTGAATTTTCTTTTCCCAGAGGAGATAGACACAGACTTAATTCAACATTTCACACTTAAACAAAGCTACCATAAAATTAAGGGCAAAGATAAAGAAATGGACAAAAAGCACTGTATTATTTCAAAAGCAGATTTGGAGTCTTGTCAGATGAGTTTAGCTTGACAGTGGGTCCTAAATTGTACATGCATGTTCTTCGAGTTATGGTTTCTATTTTGTTTTCAGGCCTCTAATGGAAGAATTAGAGCGGGTCCCACAGCAGGTGTCTCTTGTTAGGAACGGCATAGGAAGGGGCGGGCAGTGCTGAGATGAATGTCTTCAATAGCCAAGAATGCACAGAAAATCTATTTCCCTGATGGGCTAACTGAGCTACAGACCTTCCTAGGGGCTCATGGTTTTGCCATGTCTGAAATTGATTCAATAACCAGCTGCATCACATCAGCAAGAAAGTCTCAACACAAGAGGACTTCTTGCCACATAGTTGCCATCTTTTGTTAAAACTATAGCTGCCCTGAAGGTCCTCAAAAAGCCAAGTGCCTTCTCTCACCAAGCAAGACAGCCTGATGCCCATGAGGGGCCCTATCATAAGGAGACTAGGGGGAGGGTATGTATCTGCATATGTGCAACATTGTTCTAGTTTTCCAGCGATCTCAGAGGAGTGTTCAACATCAAATTTTCTTTCTTTTTTTAAAAGAATTTATTTTTATTGTTTGTGGGTACATAGTAGGTGTATATATTTATGGGTTACATGAGATATTTTGATCCAGGCATGCAATGCATCATAATCACATCATGGAAAATGGGGGTCTCCATCCCCTCAAGCATTTATCCTTCGAAAACCAAGTCCTCTTAGCCCCTTTCCTTATGAATTAAATTTGGACAAAATGTTTTTAATAGCTGGAATTTCATAAGAGATATACTACTTGTTTGTTTCATCAACCCTCTTCCTGGGATGGACAAGGGATCAGACCTTGGAGAAGAGCTATTGTTTCCATTTAAAGCAGTTGCCAAGAGAGAGTTGAGTCTCCCAGTCTCAACCATGACTTTATGTGACTATTTTCTAAGACAATTTTTTGGGGGGCTTTAAAAACAGTCAATGCGGCCGGGCATGGTGGCTCACGCCTATAATCCCAGCACTTTGGGAGGCCGAGGCGGGTGGACAGCCTGACCAATATGATGAAACCCTGTCTCTACTAAAAATACAAAAATTAGCTGGGCTTGGTGGCATGTGCCTGTAATCCCAGCTACTCGGGAGGCTGAGACAGGAGAATTGCTTGAACCTGGGAGACAGAGATTGCAGTGAGCCGAGATGGCGCCATTGCACTCCAGCCTGAACAACAAGAGCTAAACTCTGTCTCAAACAAAAACAAAAACAAAAACAAAACAAAAATCAAACAGTCAGTGCATTGGCTTCTCTTAGAATGTAAATAGCAAACTTCAGGGATAAGAAATTGTACATGATTTGGGCAGAGTGTGTGGTTCTTACTCTAGCACTGGGGCTCTAGAAGAATGTATTCAGAACATCCTGTTCTTCCAACAAAAGTCACTTTAATAGTTTCCAAAGGAGAGAAATTGACCAGAAGGGAGTTAGCCTGAAGAATGCACAGGAAATTAGTGTATGCGGATGTCACCCCGAAGAGACATTAATCATGAATTCGGATTTTAGTGAATGATATGAGCCACTTGGAGTAACTGGGTACCAGGGAGGAAGTAGAACCACACCAGTGTTAAGACAGAAAAACTTGAAGATACATTCATACAAGCAAGTTCACGGGTGTCAGTGCTTATCGGTATATGAGAACATGGTGAAGGCTGGCTTGGGCCGATCGATTGTGGATGTTTTCTTAGTAACTATATTCTAACTACCTGTTATATATTTTTTTGATAATTATGGGGACATTTTATTAATACTTATATCAAATGTGAACATTCATTTGTTCATTCATTAATGCACCCTTTGGACAAATGTTTATTTACTAACTGGGGTATATACTGGCATAGGTGCTGGTGCCTACAAAGATGATTAAGATATTGTTTCTTCTTCAAGACCTTACAGACTAGAAAAGAGGAGGCCTGATGTGATTGAAGTAATCTTACATTATTTTTTCTTGGGAAATATGAATGTAGAGCGTAACTCCTTATCAGGGGACTCACTCTGGGACTTGGGGATGAGGGAGAGTCACTGACAAAGGGGGAGAAGAGGCTGTTGCCCTACCTAAGAAACATTAACTGTTCTCCATGCTCTGATCCCTTGTCCACCCCAGGAGGAAGGTTGATGAAATAAACATATCTCTTATGAAAATCCAGATATTAAAAACATTTTGTCCAAATTTAATTCATAAGGAAAGGGACTAACAAAACTTGCTTTTCAAAGGATAAATGCTTGAGGGGATGGAGACCCCCATTTTCCACAGTGTGATTATGACACATTGCACGCTTGTATCGATATCCATACTCCCACCCTGTGGGAAGGGCAATGAGTGAGAATGAGGGAGGTATGTAGTACACCTCCTGAGGTTGGGATTTGCAGCACTAAGTGGCAGGGACATCAGGGCAGTGATGGATCCTAGGGTTGAGCCCAGGGATCATTGGGTTTGAAGAGTTGACAGCCAAGGTCTCAATGCTGACAGCACAGGATCCTGCTACTATTTATAGACATTTCTTTGATGGTGTAAATTTCTGTTGGAAAAAAATCCACTTTAACCGTTGATCAAAGCTTGGTGGCCACCTAAGAATGATCTGACATGAACCATCCTGCTGGGGCTGGCCGGTTGAGAATAATTAATCAGTGACACACTCTATACGGTAGGCAAACACCGGAATTTGTTCTGTGCATTTAAATAACAACACTTGTGGGTATGTTTTTAAATTCAGAACCGTTAAATTTCTTTCTCTTTGAACCTCAGATGATCATCTCTTTCTCCCATTTCTATGAAACATCTCCTCCAGCGGGCTTAACGTTTTAGTGGTAAGATTCAAATAAAATAGAAGTCTCGGTGGTGGGGTGGGAATTGGCTGAATTATTTGTAAAGGCATGAAGCTGGTCTCTCCTTAGTCCTTCTCCCTAGGGAAACGGTGGGCAGATCGTTCTTCTAGAGAGAGTATTATAGATTTCTGCAGCCCTGAAAATGAATCATCTGCTTCAAACGCATGAGTGCTCCGCAAAAGTGAGGTTCTTGCCTCAACTAGATTAATTCAGTTCATATCAACCAATCTCTATTAAGGACAACCACGTGTAAGCCCAAAGCAGTAGGCAATTGCATATACAAAATGTGTTCCTTGAACCATTTTCCTGTCTAACCTAGAGCAGTGGTTTTCTATTCAGCAAGATCACATATTTGAAGATCAGGTTTGGGCAGGTGATCAGACCACCACACAGTGGATCAGAATCAGTCAGTAAGACACATTAGTTACCTATTTTCATGCCTGGGTCAGTAAACCTAAGTAGAAGTTTAATCCAATTATTAAATAAGTACTGAGATACTTTTAAAGAGCAAAACCACTGGCTTTTATTTTGATCACCCAATTAGTCCCACAGATCCAGTTTACATGAAAAAAAAAAAAAAAACTACATGTTTGTTTTTAATCGTTTTTGAGTTGATTTTTGTATATGGTATAAAATAAAGGTCCAGTTTCATTATTCTGCGTTGTGGATATCCAGTTTTTACAACACCATTTATTGAAGAGATTGTCTTTTTCCCAAACCTGGAGGATATTACGCTAAGTGAAAAATGTCAGACACAGAAAGACACATATACTGCATCATCTCACTTCTAGGTAGAAGGCTAAAATAGCCAGACTCACAGAGGAACAGGGTAGAATGTGGTTTCCAGGAGCTGGAGGAGGGGGAAATGGGGAGATGTTGGTCAAGGGGTACAAAGTTTCAGTTACGCAGGAGGAATAAGTTCTGGGCACCCAATGCACAGCGATGTGACTGAGTTAACAATGCTGTACTGTCTACTTGAAATTTGCTGAGAGGATAGATCTTAAGTGTTCTCATCATAAAATGTTTTTTAGAAAAAGAAAGCAAAAAAGAAAATGGCAACTATATGAGGTGATAGATACATTAATTAGCTTGATCCTGGTGATTATTTCACAATGTATACCTGCATAGGAACATTACATCATACACCTTAAATACATACAATTTTTGTCCGTGATATCTCCATAAAGATGGAAAAGAAAACTCTCAATGATATGTGTAAGAGCAACTGATATTAATGTCCTAATGACATACTTGTCTATCAAGCTTCTGCCTTACCTTCAAACTACAAAGAGAGAGGATTTTAAAGATTGTTTGTTTGTTTAAGTAAAACAAGCCCTTTTGATGGCCATATAGACAACAAGCTGCCTGTCTGGGTCTAGTTAAAGGCTGGCCTGTCTGCTCCAGCTATCTCTTGGAGAACAGACATGTTAATTTAAAGGTTTGCTTCTATAGGGCCCCTGGCAGCCTGGCACTGGCCTGGGATCAGGCAGTGGTTCTCAGAAGACTACACTCTTAGCATCTGCCCTTATTCTTCCATGTTTGTGTAGATGGCTTACACAACCAACCTTGTCTTTCCCACTCAGGATGCATTTTCCATTTTGACAGCCTCTCCAATGAGTACAAAGCCTCTATTCCTCTGCATCCATCTCCAGCCCCACCGCAGTCCCTGGCTCATGCACCCACAACCCCTGACCAGTCACAAGGATGAATTTCAAGACTTTCAAAACTCAGAAGCAGGGAAATGAGTGTCAGGCACACCCAGGAGTACCCTGAACTTATGATGGGGTGAAACATAATAACTCATCTTTTCTCAGTCTTGCCATCTGTCACTTACTGTACCATTTGGAGTCAAAGAGGCTTGCAGGGATTCCGAGGTCGCCACCAGAAGTGTGCAACTGGAATGTGCCAGGAATGATCGCCTGGGCTTCACCACGTGGACTTTCTAAGGCATTTGTTTGCTAGGGTTCAAATACACATTGTGGAGACACTAATCTTTACTGCATCCTCCTGAATCTTTTATAGACATTTTTTTTTTTTTTTGAGATGGAGTTTCACTCTTGTTGCCTAGGCTGGAGTGCAATGGCACAATCTCGGCTCACTGCAACCTCCGCCTCCCGGGTTCAAGTGATTCTCCTGCCTTAGCCTCCTGAGTAGCTGAGAATACAGGCGCCAACCACCATGCCTGGCTAATTTTTGTATTTTTAGTAGAGATGGGGGTTCACCATGTTGGTCAGGCTGGTCTTGAACTCCTGGCCTCAGGTGATCCACCTGCCTCGGCCTCCCGAAGTGCTGGGATTTTAGGCACACCCAGCCTTACAGATGTTTTTTAATGGCTCTTTCCCATCTGTAACAGACACACAGGATTTAAAGATTTCCATGCCTTCCGGAGTTGTTTAGAGAACCAAGGCATGAGCTCTAGGCGAAGCTCTTAGAGCTGGTCTGAAATGAGAAGCTGTGGAATAGGAGCTGGAGCTATGTGACGACTACTACCATTGCATGTTCTGCACTTTGGACAACTTTGAGTGGGGCATTTTGCTCATTAATGTCATTGCCAAATCCAGGAAGTCTGCTGGTTGTAAAACAATCTTGAGGAAGAACCACCATCCATTTCACCCAACTCTGACTTAGATTTTTTTTTTTTCTTCCCCCATTGCCTTTCCCATGGGCCTTAGAATGATCAATGATGTTTAATCCCTTTAGAGTCAGCGGCCTTGGTTCTAAGAAATATTCTAAGTTTTTAATTTTTTGAGATGGGGTCTTTCTATGTTGCCCAGGCTGACCCTGAACTCCCAGACTCAAGCAATCCTCAGGCCTCAGCCTCTTGAGTAGCTGGGACTTCACGCATTCTACCACTGCTGGCTCTAACAAGTATTTAAAAATACTCCCTTACTGTCCTCAAATAAAATTCATGGATCGTGCAACCTGCTTACACATATTATTGAAAAAAATTAGCACAATTCTCTGTTATGTAAACAAAAGATAGTAGGAAAGTAATCTGTCAGCAAATAACATATATTACAATATGTAAATGTTTGCAGATAATGCAACTACAACCAGAAATCATGAAGAAGTGATCGATTTCTTAATTACTGTGAGGCCAGAACTCCAAATGCTAATTGCCAAATGTCTGTCATGTTGGAGACTCAAATGCCACTGGGGTATTGCCATTAGTGAAGCGCTTTTCCTGAAACATGAATAGTTCTTGGTGAACTTCCGGCTAAAACAAAGCATTATCACCCCTTGACTTGCAGGAGAGTTGTACTTGGGAGAGTCTGTAAACGGTGAACCGCAAGTAGCGCTATCCACACCCGCGACCCCTCCCTCACTGTTGCTGCCTGGGAACTACGTTGCCACCACTTCCAGTGAAGGCCACCAGGGGGCGCCAGCAAGGGGGAGCTGCTGGCGGACACCACCCTAAGACGCCCACCCTTTGGTGGATGCGGTGTTCTGTGCCGTGTCCACCATCACCCCTCAGACACCAGCATGGCATCCCCTCACCCCATCTGTTGCTAGGAGCCAGCATCCCTGGACTGCACTAGTGATAAAAGGCGGGGGACATCCTGCAGGAAGGAAATGGGGCTGAGTGTGTTTGTGTCTTTGAGCAGGAGACGGTGGTGGTGGGAAATCATGCACAGTCTGTTTCCCAGTCTTGGTAACTTTGCCTGGTATTGCCAGATATACCCAAGAGCAATTCAAGTGGCTGCAGTAGTCACCAGGTAGGTCTGGAACGAAACTGAATATCTGCGAGGCTCCACTACGTTCTTTTAAGATAATTGTATTGGCTGGGCGCGGTGGCTCACGCCTATAATCCCAGCACTTTGGGATGCTGAGGTGGGCGGATCACCTGAGGTCAGGAGTTCGAGATCAGCCTGGCCAACATGGTGAAACCCTGTCTCTACTAAAAATACAAAAATTAGCCGGGCGTGGTGGCACATGCTTGTAATCCCAGCTACTCAGGAGGCTGAGGCAGGAGAATCGCTTGAGCCTGGGAGGTGGAGGTTGCAGTTAGCCTAGATTGTGCCACTGCACTCCAGACTGGCCAACAGAGCGAGACTGTGTCTCAAAAAAAAAAAAAAAATTATTTTAGATTCAGGGCACATGTGCTTGTTACATGGATATTATTAATACATGCTTATTGGTGGAGTGTGGGCTTCTAGTGTGACCATCACCCAAATATTGAGCATTGTACCCAATAGCTAATGTCAAGGAACCAACCTAAGTGTCCACCAATGGCTGATTGGATAAAGAAAATGTGATAGGCCGGGCATGGTGGCTCATGCCTGTAATCTCAGCAATTTGAGAGGCTGAGGCGAGTGGATCACTTGAGCTCAGAAGTTCAAGACCAGCCTGGCCAACAAGGCGAAACCCCATCTCTACTAAAAATACAAAAATTAGCTGGGCATGGTGGCATGTGCCTGTAATCCCAGTTACGTGGGAGGCTGAGGCAGGAGAATCTCTTGAACCCAGGAGGTGGAGGTTGCAGTGAGCCGAGATCGTGTCATTGCCCTCCAGCCTGAGCAACATAGCAAAACTCAGAAAGAGAGAGAGAGAGAGAGAGACAGAGAGAGAAAGAAAAGAAAGAAAAAAAAGAAAAGAAAAGAAAAAAGAAAAGAAAAGAAGTTAGGAAGGAAGGGAGAAAATGTGATATATAGACACCATGGAATGCTACACAGCCCTAAAAAAGAATAAAATCACCTCATTTGCAGCAACATGCATGGAGCTTGAGGCATTCATCCTAAGTGAACTAACTTAGAAGCAGAAAATCAAATATCGCATGTTCTCACTTATAAGTGGGAGCTAAACACGGGTCCACTATGTTGTTGAGACACTACATTCCCCAATAGCAAGAGCTATCTGTTATAACTTGGACATTTTTCTATTTGGTCCCTAGGGTCCCCCACTAAGGACATGCTTGGGAGGTCATGGCACTGTGTACCCTGCCTTTCCCTAGATGTTCATTAAGCGCATTTGTTGCATTGTGCATATCCTTGCCTGCTCCCTAGGCTGTGGAGGAGCTATCGGTACCCAGCTGGTTGTCTGTGGCAGGCTGGTAGCAGGTGAGGGCAGGTCTCGGGGTTCCGAGTGATGAGAATCCAGAGACGCACGTCCCTGACTATTGCTGGATCCTTGAGCAGACAGGGCCCTCTGTTACCCACACTCGAGTTCCAGAACTTAGAAGAAGAGTTCCAAGAACAGCTGGCTGTGGAACAGCCATGGGAGGATGTCTCTTGCCCTTTAAGCTTCCATGAGGTGAATATATACAGTGTCCATCCCTGAGAAAAATGAAGCTTCCACAAGACAACAGATAAATATTTTCAGGAGAAAATGAAATATTTTCATGAGAGATGATCAGATCTGATCCTGGGCCTTGGGTGGGTGGGTCTCTACCTGCACTTTACAACCCTAATCAATAAATAACCTGAGCTCCTTGTTCAGCTTACAAGTCCTTGGTCCAGTTTAGCTCAAAGAGAGACGGATGTCCAGTGACCTAAATTTATCTTACAATGGCAGTGCTGTGCCTGACACCAGGTTCATGCATCTTCACACAGGCCGTCCCTAGAAGAGAAAAGGATGCCTCCCCTCATTGGCTTTCTAATATTACTGCAACAACTACAACCTTGGGGACAATTTCCTGGTGGGAGGACATGCCCAATAATGCAGGTGCATAGTGGAACACTGGCATCACTTAGTTGGTGACTTGAGGACCTCAGTCTCCCTGGGTTCAGTTTCCTCATGTGTCAAATTCCCAGCTTAACTAGATGAGGGTTTCCAGACTTTGAGTAATATGAAACAGTACAATCTGAAAATGAAATTAAATACCGGGGGGACCAACCTATAGGGTTGTCAGTATCTTATATGCTACGTTAGGGAATTAAAAACAAAATAGACTGGGCACGGTGGCTCACACCTATAATCCCAGCACTTTGGGAGGCTGAGGCGGGTGGATCGCCTGAGGTCAGGAGTTTGAGACCACCCTGGCCAACAAGGTGAAACCCTGTTTCTCCTAAAAATACAAAATTAGCTGGGCGTGGTAGCAGGCATCTGTAATCCCAGGTACTCAGGAGGCTGAGGCGGGAGGACTGCATGAATCCGTGAGGCTGAGGTTGCAGTGAGCCAAGATCACGCCATTACACTCCAGCCTGGGCAACAAAGCAAGACTCCATCTCAAAAACAAACAAATAAACAAAAAAAAAAAAAGAAGAAAAAAATGAAACAAGCCAAATATAATCTGCTGTCTCCATGATTTTATTAAAGAAAAGACATTTTAACACACACTGAAAACAGGAGAGATAAAAATATTGGGTTTTAAAGTGGATAAATTTAGCTTGATAGAAAAATCCTTCTGTTGTCTGTATTTTTCTCCTGGGCTGCGTACCCACGAGGATTTTATTATAACGGAGATCAGGAAAGGGCATCTGGGACCAGAGCACAAGAGGATCCCAGCCTCGATCCAGCTGTATTTTTATCTCTAGTTTTTAATCTCCAGTTTTTATCTCTAGTTTTTAATACAGCCTCACACTGTTCCTATGAAATAGACTAAAGATATGCAAGAAACACACTAGTAAGCGAATCTCTGGAAACAGAATCCTCCACCTTCCTTTCCATGTGTTTTGCTTCTCTGACCATCTCAATGCCAAAATACAAAAATTAGCCAGGCGTGGTGGTTGGCGCCTGTAATCCCAGCTACTTGGGAGGCTGAGGCAGGAGAATCACTTGAACCTGGGAGGCGGAGGTTGCAGTGAGCCGACATCGTGCCATTGCACTCCAGCATGGGCAACAAGAGTGAAACTCCACCTCAAAAAAAAAAAAAAAAAAGTCTATAAAAGATTCAGGAGGATGCAGTAAGGATTAGTGTCTCCACAATGTGCATTTGAACCCTAGAAAACAAGTGCCTTAGAAAGTCCACGTGGTGAAGCCCAGGCGATCATTCCTGGCACATTCCAATTGCACACTTCTGGTGGTGACCTCGGAATCCTTGTAAGCCTCTGACTCCAAATGGTACAGTAAGTGAAAGATGGCAAGACTGAGAAAAGATGAGTTATTATGTTTCGCCCCATCATTAGTTCAGGGTACTCCTGGGTGTGCCTGACACTCATTTCCCTGCTTGTGAGTTTTGAAAGTCTTGAAACTCACAGCAGAGAACATCAGCAAGACGGAAAGGGAAAGCTGGAAAGATAAACACCCCGCCTTCCTGTTCGGAGTCTGCAGAAAAGGGACAAAGCCAGGCCAAGGGGAGCGGAGTATAGTGATGCTTGTTTCACTTCTTAACCCGGATTGCTTGCATTTGTACTTTCTGGGTGATGCTACCCACTTCCTACCATGACGGAATCACTGATTTTTACCTCTTCTCTAAGCACATGCTTGAGAGGGAGCAACTCAAGTTTTTGGGATGGAGTCTTGCTCTGTTGCCCAGGCTGGAGCACAGTAGACAGGCTCAAGCAATTCACCTCCCTCAGCCTCCCGAGTAGCTGGAATTACAGGCTATTGACCATTATACTCGTCTAATTTTTTTGTATTTTTAGTAGAGATGGGGTTTCGCCAGGTTGGCCAGACTGGTCTCGAACTCCTGACCTCAAGTGATCTACCCGCCTCAGCCTCCCAAAGTGGCAAGAATACAGGCATGCTCCACCGTGCCCAGTTGGGAGCAACCCAATTCTTACCCTCAAAACTGAAAAGCTCTGCTTTTGAAACTCTTTTGTTACTATTTTTTGAGTAGGTAATATATGCAGATGATACAAAATTCAAAATTAACAAGGGAGCAGAAACAAAAAGTTAATTTCTCTTATACCTCTGACCTACAGCCACCCAGTTCTCACTAGTGGCAACCACTTTTACATGCTTCTTGAGATATTCTAATCAGATTCAGGCATAAAATGTTACCATTGGTGATTATATATACACACACACATATGCACGTGTCCACACACAAACACACAAATAGAACATACTTTACAACTATAAATTGTACTTCACTGTCCGGATCTGGAATATTTCCTTTTTCTTTACTTTTTTTGAAACAGTCTCGTTCTGTCATCCAGGCTGGAGGGCAGTACACTCTGCCTCCAGGGCTCAAGCGATTCTCCTGCCTCAGCCTCCTGAGCAGCTGGGATTACAGATGGGCACCACCATGTCCACCTAATTTTTGTATTTTTAGTAGAGACGGGGGTTTGCCATGTTGGCCAGGCTGGTCTTGAACTCCTGACCTCATGTGATCCACCCACCTTAGCCTCTCAAAGTGCTGGGATTACAGGTGTGAGCCACCTAGCCCGGAACATTTCATTAAATCAGTCTTCTATTGATGGATATTTGAATATGTCACTAATTCAATGTGAAAATGTTTTTGTACATCTGTCAATGTATCTCTAAGGTAGACTTCTAGGAGTAGAATTGTTGGCTCAAAAGTCATGTGTATTTAAAAAAAAAATTAGACATTGTCAATTTTGCTCCCCATGGAGGTTATACCAATTTATATCCCCAGTATAGAGAGTGTCTGACTCCCTCCACTCTTATGTTACAGTGAGGGTGTGTACCATAAAACTTTCAAATCTTGGGCACTGTGATGGGTAAAAAATGGCATCTCATTTTTATTTCAATTGATAATCTCCTTTCATAAGCCAAAATGCTGTTTCACAAAATTTCCCCAAGACCAATTCCCTTTTTTAAACCAAGCTTTCATTGATCCAAATGGATCCAGTTTTGTCTCATAAACATCCCAATAATGGACACAAGCTAATAATTAAGAGAAACATGTTAGAACCATCTACTCACTGAAGTCCACATTTAAAGGCAATTTAAGGCCGGTCGCGGTGGCTCACGCCAGTAATCCCAGCATTTTGGGAGGCCGAGGCGGGTGGATCACGAAGTCAGGAGATCGAGACCATCCTGGCTAACACAGTGAAACCCCGTCTCTAATAAAAATACAAAAAAATTAGCTGGGCGAGGTGGCGGGCGCCTGTAGTCCCAGCTTCTCGGGAGGCTGAGGCAGGAGAATGGCATGAACCCGGGCGGCGGAGCTTGCAGTGAGCCAAGATCGCACCACTGCACTCCAGCCTGGGCGACAAAGCGAGACTCCGTCTCAAAATAAATAAATAAATAAATAAAAATAAAATAAAGGCAATTTACAAGAATCTTTATTAATGGCTCCCTTATGTATCTCTGTATTGTATATGCCACGCATACCTGTTAGAGGAGATGAAAATTAAAATGACGCTAAGCAAAAACAAAGGGCAATTCATCCAAATATTCCTCTTAGTCCAATTTCTCCTTAGCCTTGAAAAGAGATAGGCAAGCCCCCAAAAGATTGAATCTTGAAAGACTCAAGACCATGACACCTGATCAGATGTCGACTGCATAAAATTGATAACATTTGTCAGCTACTCACGCTCAAATCTACCAAGCTCAGAAACTAATCTCATAGACGATCAGCAGGGCAGGCAATAAAGGTCCTCAGAATTTCCATTGTGTACGAAGATATGCGAGAGCATCAACTACCCCAAGTAAGGCTGAAGGTTCCCCGGTGACTTTAGTGAGCTAAAACTTGTTACCCACGACTTTTATCAGTCAAGCTGACCCCAGCACCTCACTAAATGTCTGATTGGCGCCTCTGTTACTCTCCTGCGAATCTGATTAGGTTTCTATGTATTCTCAAGGTCACTAGCTGTGTTTGGACAAAACGATAATAATATCAACCTTCAGGACACCATTTCTTGAGCATTTTTGAAAGGGCCAGTGTGGACACCGTTAATTTCTCAGGCAAATAAGAAAATCATTATAGAACAGCAGCCAAAGAACTTGAATAAATTAATTAACATATTCAATATTTACCGAGCTTGTTGCTTTCTATTGAATTTGTATTGTGGTTGTAGTGATTTTTGTCATGTACTGCAAGCATCGGGCTATTGATACTGTGGCTGAAATGCTTAGACTCATGAATTGTTAGCTATGTTTTAGAATATGAGTTGTACTTAGACTATTTAATTGTATCGTTATTTAATTATATCCTTTTGCTTACAATAGGGTAGATGCCATATATACTATATCAAAGGTTTTTCACATCTAAAAATTTGCATTTCTAATTGCTAAGTAAGATCTTTTTCTTGCTCACTTTCTGATCTGTCC
This sequence comes from Homo sapiens, assembly GCF_000001405.40. Taxonomy (NCBI): domain Eukaryota; kingdom Metazoa; phylum Chordata; class Mammalia; order Primates; family Hominidae; genus Homo; species Homo sapiens. The sequence goes on from NC_000010.11 coordinate 14,039,364, forward strand.
GTCCGTCCATCCATCCATCCATCCATCCATCCATCCATCCATCCATCTATCTATCTATCTATCTATCTATATTGGAACCCCAAAATCAATCAATCTATCTATCTATCTATCTATCTATCTATCTATCTATCTATCTATCTATCTATCTATCTATCTATCATCTTGGAACCCCAAAATCACTAAGCTAAAGGGAAAAATCAAGCTGGGAATGGCTTAGGCTAAACCTGCCTTCCATTCTATTCAAAGTCATCCCTCTGCTCACTGAGATAAATGCATATCTGATTTCTTCCTTAGGAAAGGCTGGTCAGAAACTCAAAAGAATGCAACCATTTGTCTCTTATCTACCTATGACCTGTGAACCCTCTTCCTCACTTTGAGTTGTCCTGGCTTTCTGGCCTGAACCAATGTGCATCTTACATATACTGATTGATAACACCAAGCTGTACCCAACCACCTTGGGCGCATGTCGTCAGGACCTCGTGAGGCTGTGTCACGGCCGTGCATCCTTAACTTTGGCAAAATAAATTTCCTAAATTGAGACCTGTCTCAGATATTTGGGGTTCATATATGTATGTATGTGAGTATGTATGTATGTATCTATCCATTTATCTGTCATCTCATCTAATCTTTGCTTTGTGCTAGGCACTGTTCCAAGTGCCTTAGAAATATGAACTTACTTAATCCTCACAACAGCCCATATGGTGCTTAATTATTTTTACCATCCTTGTTTTACAGATGGAGAAACTCAGGAACAGAGAGGTTAAGTCACTGGCTCAGAGTCACACAGCCAGTCGAATGACAGAGCCTGAATAGGAATGCAAGCCTCTGGCTCCGGGGTCAGTGATAATCACTGCTACACTGGGCTTGTGTGTGTACAACATTCTAATTTTTGTGAACAGTCACTTGCTCCCTGTCACCGAGAGAAAATCCTTCTTCTGTTGAATGAAACAGAGAAAGTTCTTGTGGGGAAGCAAAGCTGGGTAAGAAGTGTGTGTAGCAGGGCTGTAGGGGTGGTTTCTGGAAAATGTTTGGTATTCATTTACAAGATAATCTTAATAGCATCTCCATTGTGTAATGGAGAGACTCAATAATGGTACTGAAGGAATTTAGCTGAAGTTAATGTTCTTGCAAAAAAACAGAGAATGATGCAATTCTTTAACTCTGGGAGGAGTGTAACATTCATCTGAGACTAACTGCATTTTGGAGATAAAGGAACAGGCCCCAGGGACTTTGGCCTTACTTGGCCTGTTTGCTGAAGGCCATGCATGGTGCCTGCGACCAGAATCTAGACTTTCCACCTGCAGTTAGGGTTCTCCTTCTTATTTACTTCTTATTAACAGGATGAGTACTCCTCAGAAACCATAGACTGTCTCAGTTTCTCCTTCCCTCTCTGCAAATGTGTTCTCCAGAGGAAATAAGACGGAGACGCCAGCTTAGGCCTGCAGTGGATACAGTGGTTTTGGCTTCATGTACACAGGTGTTCCATTTAATGAGGTGTTGAAGGGAAGGTGGTTGAAAAAGAAATATACAGGGTGTGAGAAGAAGGAAGGCAAAACGTCTATTACCCACAAGCCCAGAGAAATCTATTTCTCCAGGCTGCAAAGTAGCAAGTGCCAGGATTTTGGAGTGGAATAACTGCTCTACTTCCTCTTAATCAAAGGAATTATATAACTCCCCTGAGAGAAAGCAAAATGACTTATTTTATCATAATGAAGCTTTTAAAATGGCAACTTGCAGTACTTTGAAAAAGTCGTAGAGTATATGGGGTTATACTCGTTTCTTCTTCTTTGTTTTGTTTTTTAGTTTTCTTGCTGAAATTGGACAATCAGAGCACATGTCAAACACTTCTGCTTTCTTCAAAGAAAACAGAGCTCTTTCTGTGCCTCAAATTCTTCTGAGCTGCTTTTAAGGGAGTCTAACTTGGTTCCTTATCTCTTTTTTCAAAAGGCGTTTCTCATGACATTCTTCAAAAAGCTTTGCTTTGTTGTAGTTTCCAATATTTCAACATTTTTATTTTACAGCTTAACTTGTCATCATGAAAATTCTGACTAATGTCCTTTTGTCTGTTTACAAATTAGTTTCATTTTCTGCCACCAAAAGGGAAACATACTGTGATCTCCATACTTGAGCTATTTTGTCAAACAAGAGTTAAAATCAGGAAACGTTTACAAATAAGTTCTGCGTCTAGGCGTATACCCAAAACAGATGAGTCCATATGAGCCCCAAAAGGCGTGACCAGGGATTTTCATAGCAGGACTATTCATAACAGCTCCAAAATGAAAATGATCCAAATGTTCATCAGAGGTAGAACAAATAAATGTGTAGTCTACGCATAAGGTAGAATCGTATAATGGGATAAAATATAGCAATGAAAAGGAATGGACCACTGTTGAGTTCAACAGCATGGATCAATCTTATAAGTATTTTTGAGTAAAAGAAGCTAGACACAAACAAATATGAATTGTGTCTTTATGTTTATATAAGGTTCAAAAACAGAGAAAACTCAACTATGCTGGTAGAAGTCAGAACAGGGGCTATGTTTGTGGAGGGAGGGAGACAGTGACTGAAACGAGCACAGGGAGCTTGCAGGGTGCTGGTGATGCTCTACTGCAAGATCCTTATTCCAGTAGGTTCACTTTGTGAAAAGTAAAGTAGAGGTTTCTCTTCAAAAATTTTCCTCCCCGTCTAATTAGGAATAAACAGAAACTTCTCTCAGAAGCAAAATGTATTCAAAGACCTGTGCTAACATTTTTAAATGTCTGCTAGCCGTAATAAAGAAATCGATGTACTTTATGTTCTTAGCTCCCACCATGTAGCCTAAATATTTGCCCTGGCACGCTTATACTGGTCCAAGCAAGCATTAGGTCATAGCCTGTTCCTCTTCCTTATTTGAAGTTGTTTTTACCTTTCTCAGTATTCCACAAGTTACTTCCTCCTTCCTTTGTTCTCCTCTGCCTTTGCCTCTTTTAAAAAGTTCTAAGTTACAGGCCAATCAGGACAAATACAGAATGTGAGGTCCCGCTCCAGCCAATAGAAACCAGACACAGCAGTAAAGTGGACGCGTCAAGTTATAAATAACGCTGGCTCCTTTGTTCAGTGTACTCTTGTGGCAAAACTGCTGGCGAATGTACCCTTTCTGCAGAAAGTATAAAAATGGCCTTGCTGAGGAAATTAAATTTATGTTCAAGTGCTTTTTCTTCACGGCACCGAAGAACAGGCATTTCAAACAACTTTGTGGGTATTTACGAAGGTGTACTTGTGATTTGTGCTCTTTCCTGAGCACAGGTTATACTTAGATAAGAAATTTATTTGAAAACAGGCCGGCGCAGTGGCTCATGCCTGTAATCCCAGCACTTTGGGAGGTCGAGATGGGTGGATCATTCGAGGTCAGGAGTTTGAGACCAGCCTGGCCAATATGGTGACACTGCACCTCTACTAAAAATACAAAAAAAATTAGGTGGGCGTGGTAGTGCAAACCTGTAATCCTAGCTACTCGGGACGCTGTAAGCCAAGATCGTACCACTGCACTCCAGCCTGGGTGATAGAGCAAGACTCCATCTCAAAAAAAAAAAAAAAAAAAAAAAAAGAAATTCATTTCGAAACAAAACTCAGTACTGAATTCTCCCTGGTGCAGAAAGAGAAAATCAACCTGTACAATCCTCATGACAAAAATCTATATATTTTCATCAGACACTTAGAAAATGTTCAGATCTTCCAGGTGTAGAGATGGGAGAGGAGAGAGAGAAAAAATTTTTTAAAGCATCCTTTTACTTCCAGAAGGTTACCATGTTATCTATGTGTTGACAAAAACATTTTCTTCACCAAAAAGTGTGCACATTTAACATTAAAGTTGCTGAGAATTCAATACAAATATATTTCTGAGGGATTTTTTTATGAGAAATTCTAGCCATATGTCCCATGTTAGTTCTGAAGGAATTCTAAAATTTGATGTGTGTTGTGTGGATATAAAGGTGATACTCAAAGGAAATGTCTGAGAATGTGTATTTATATTTTATAACAAGATTAAATCACATGATTTATCCACAAATTTTTTTTCCTTCCTTTACCAATTTCACTCCCTGCCCACTGATTTCTTGAATTCTCCCATTTCATCTCCTCTATTCCTCTCTGATGTGCAGTTGAGGTATTTGTCAAAATTCTCCCTTCTCCCCTCTCCTGTCCTCTCACTGTCTGGAAACTTGTCCACTCTGATGAGGATTTCTCTGTTTCCTTTGGCTGGATGATTTCTCACTCCCCAGCACCTGCTCTAACTTCTGTCCATCACTCCAGCCTCGACTGCACAGCTGCCTGGACAGGCACAGACAACGACGCCATCCATCAGCATTACAATAGAAGACACAAAATCAAATTGACTTCTCATCAAACTAGCTGCAGCTTTCCACTGCCTTACCTAGGTTAGTGGTACCATCATTCAACTAGGTGTCCGGTCCCAGATCTCTGGGTCATCTTTTTTTTTTCTTAAGACAAGGTCTTGCCCTCTCGCCCAGACTGCAGTGAAGTGGTGCAATCACAGCTCACTATAACTTCGAACTGTGGGACTCAAGCATTCTTCCTACTTCATTCTCCTGAATAGCTGGGACTACAGGCACATGCCACCATGCCTGGCTATTTATTAAAACTTATTTGTAGAGATGGGGTCCCACTGTGTTGCCCAGGCTGGTCTCCAGTTCCTGTCCTCAAGTGATCCTTCTGCCTTAAACTCCCTAGGTGCTGGGATTACAGGTATGAACCACTGTGTCCTGCCCTTTGGGTCATCTTTAACGTCTCTGCTCTCCAATTTCAAATCAGTTGTCCAACCCAGTTGATTCTACCTTTTACATTCTCTTTCCTGTCGCCCCTTTACTTCCCACAGTGTTGTTACTGTTGTTTGAGCTCTATTGTTTTAGCCGTGTGGCTCTTTGCTGATCTCTCTATTGCCATCTTTTCCTTCTCTAATTCTTTCTGCATTTGGCTGCTTCACTATTTAGAATAGTGGCTCCCTGACCCCCATTCCTGTCTGGTAAAACCTATGAATGTGACCTTATTTGGAAATAGGTTCTTTGTACATGTCAAGTTAACATGAGATCATCCTGGATTAGGGTGGGCCCTAAGTCCAATATGACTAGCCCTTCTACGAAGAGTGAATTTGGACACAGACACATAGAAAGAACACCATATGAGGACAGAGGCACATTGGAAGAGGCATCTAGAAGCCCAGGAATGCCAAGGACTGCTGGCAAGCAGCAGGAGCTGGGAGAGGGCACAGAACAGATTTCTCCTGAGCCTTCAGAGGCAGTGGGGCTCTGCTGAGGCCTCAATTTCATACTTCTAGACTTGGGCACTGTGGAAGAACAGATTTCTGTTGTTTTAAGCCAGCCAGTTTGTGACATTTTGTTATGGGAGGCTTAAGAAAGTAATACAGCTACCACCATAACCTTCATAGAACATTGTTTTCAACCACAACACTGCTCTGCTGAAGAATATCCAATGCCTATCTCTCGTCTACCAGATTGAATTCAGCGATACCTTTGCCAGTCAGGCTACATTCTCTGGCCCCTTTTTCTTTTTCTTGAGATAGGGTCTCACTGTGTCACCCAGGCTGGAATGCTGTGGTGAGCAGCCTCAAACTCCTGGCCTCAAGTAATCTTCCCACCTCAGCCTCCCGAGTAGCTGGGACTACAGGCACCCACCACCGTGCCCAGCTAATTTTGCTTATTTTTGTAGTGACAGGGCCTATCTATGTTGCCCTGGCTGGTCTTGAACTCCTGGACTCGAATGATCCTCCTAAACTGCTGGGATTAGAAGAGTGAGCCACTATGCCTGGCCATTCCCTGGTCCTTCTGCCATCATGACTTCATGTGACTTACACTGTAGCCTAGCAAAACTGCTTGCTCCTCCTTCAGCACACCTTTGCCTTTCCACCTGGTGTGCAACATCTGGTGTGTTCTCACTTTGACCTCTTCCCACTAACACTGTACCGCTTTTTCAAGGTGTTCAGATGCCACTGTCTTCATGAAGCTTTCCCTAGGTTCAGCAAGGTGTGGGTACTCGCTCTCTTAATGTCCACTGCTGACATGTCTATTACGCACACACTTTGCCCCCTTTCATGGTGAGTTATATACTTTAAACACATTTATTATAAAACATTTAAGATATAACCATAAATATGTATCGTTATTGAATAATATGTATGTGAATACATATTACTATTACATATTTTTATATACAATAAAATATATTACTATAATTATGTATAAGATGATATACAATAATTATAATCACATTCTTATGATATAATTATGTCATATTTATATTATATTATATATGATATAATTATATTATAATATTTATCATATTATATTAGATATAATTGTCTACCAGACATATATAATGTAAAGTATAATATATATCTATAATCATATTATATATGATATAATTATATAGAATAGATATGTATTATATATAATTGCCTACAAATATATATATCACATATAATTATATATCATATTATATATGGTATAATTATGATAGTAAAACTATATTATAATTATCATATTTAATGTATTAATACATATTCAATTTTATACATATGTATTCATATTATTCAATACATACATATTATTCAATGTTATACATATGTATTCATATTATACATATTACATATTATCAATATGTATGTATTGAAAAGTATATTTCAATGATCAAATGTACTAAAACAGAATTTATTTAAATAAATACATTTGATTATTGAAATATACTTTCACATTTTACTAATCAAATACAATAGGCCTTTTGGGACCATCAGCTTTGATATATTCTATCATGCTCACAAATTCTGACTCACTTTCCTCAACATTTGTTAAATGATTTGTTAAAATAATTCAAGTACTTATTTAAAACACAATTGGACCTTACAGTCACTACTGCTCTAGTGATTTACAGTGATAAGGAGTTGTGACACTTTTCTCTATATAAAACCTAGAGCTGAAAGTTTGTTAATGTAATAAAAGGAGCCACTATTTTCTTCTTTTCCACTCATGTATATGCTGTAGGAATGTTCTATAATATAAAAAACCATACGGCAAGATACAAAGCTGTTCCACAACTAATATTTTGAAAACTCATTTCCAGGTCAACTGAGCCCAAAATGCCTAATTTGATGACATTTTAAGAAAATGAAAGGTAGAATTATTTTAATATTCTTAATGCCAAGGTAGAGGTAATTTTCAACTCTACTGTTTTGCTGGTGATCTTATCCCTGGTTGCAGCCTTTCTGGTTCCTGACTTAATAGAGAAAATCATTTCTGTTTGTTCAGAATGATGATCAAACCCCTGACGTGATGGTGCTCACGGCTGTAATGCTTTGATGGACAGGGATTTAGTGTTCTGCCTGGCTTTGCCCTGGAGCAGCCTGAAGACTGGGTAAGGAAATGGTTTTGTGGCTGCTCTGATGAGGAAAATCTAAGTTAATCCACACATGAGGATATAAAATTCCCATCCAGTGCTAACTCCCACCATTGTGAGGCATGGGAGTCGCTGGTCCCTCCTAGGGCTGGTCGCTGGACATCATCTGGACAAAAGAAAGGGCAGAGTCTTTATCATGTGTGGAGTTACATCCTGGGGCCATGTTGTCCACAGTCCTGATTTGTCAGAAGATGGGGTGCTCAGGCCTCCACCTCCAATATAACTCTCAGAATGTGAAAGAATGACTCTCTGTGAGGCATGGGGACAATTTTGATGACTCTTGTGCCACGATGGCAATTCCATGAAATAGATTCATTGAGTAAAGAATAGACTGTGATGGAAATTCACCAATGCAAATTGCTTCATTTTACCGTCTCTATCCTTTGGAATTTTGCTTTTATTGATGGTCTTGCTTGGTGGAAAAGAAGAACCAAGAAGGTTACGTGGGTGTGATATTGCCCACGGTACCTGATGTGCTCTGGTTTTAATCGGCTGGTACCTCACAGTGAATCTCCCAAACAGTAACACGGTTGCTATGGTCTGGGTATGAAAGGAAGGTGCAAGAAAGGTCCTCAGAGGCCTGCCTACTGGTATGTGATCCACACACATTTCCATCATTTTCAGTCATTTAAGAGGCCAGAGGCTGATGGAGGATTGATAGGATCTCTAGGCAATCTTTAATCTGTACAATCTTTAATGCTCACCAGCTGATTATCAGCTGATGGGGAAGATAACTTACATATTCTTGTAAATTTCTCTCCTCCTCCTGTTCCCAGAACCCAAAGAAGAGCCCCATTGTACTAGTCCTCAATAATCCAGGAAACAAAACTGACTGTAGACTGAAAAGTGAAACTTCACGTCTGCAAAGTACTTTTCATCTTAGAAATACTTTCTTTTGAGGGACTTCCAAGTCCAGGAAGTATGGGAGAATGGAACCCTTTGGGGTTTTAACCCCAGTGAGTGGCAAAGCGGTGACTTGGAATAGGAGGAGGCCCTGGAATTATTCAGAGTGGAGTCAGAATTGTGTCATTGCGCTTCCCAGCTGCAGGGCCTGTGTAGACTATTGAAGTTAGGTCTTGGCTTTCTTCACCACCAAATAGGGACAATTTCCACTGCATAGAGCCATTTCTACCATTTAACAACAAATGTATAAGGCATTTAGCGCACAGCCCAGCACATAGTCACTCAATAAAAAATAGATATCATTGTCTGTTTTGTTAATCAGTAAGAACCCAAGACAAGGTGGGAGGCGGTAGAGATCTTGTGGAGGAGAAGAAAGGGTGGAAATAAAGGCGGTTGCTCTGAGCTAGGCTAAAGAAGGCAGCACCGTACCAAGATATCACTAGGACTGATTCCACTGCCCTGAAGATCCCAGCCAGTGACAGGACCCGGAGTGGTCCCCATGGATAGTCAAGCCAGAGCACACGACTGCTGGGACTGGAATGGATTTGGACCGGGAAGCAGGAACTTTGCAAAATCTGGCCAGCAAACTTTGTAACTGCCTATTTGCTTCATTTTCCTCTTAATAGCACGTCGTCTCATTTTGTGGGACTGATTTTTTGGGAACTCCCCACTACATTACAACATTATGCCAGAATTTCACAGTAGTAAAAACAATAATTTTTGTAAACAGAATAGGGCTCTTCCTAGTCATCACTAAGACATGCCTTAAGTTTGCTGAGAAATATGGTGGGTGGGCCGGGTGTGGTGGCTCATGCCTGTAATCACAGCATTTTGAGAGGCGAAGGCAGGCGGATCACTTGAGGTCAGGAGTACAAGACCAGCCTGGCCAACATGGTGAAACCCTGTCTCTACTAAAAATACAAAAATTAGCCAGGCGTGGTGTCAGGCACCTGTAGTCCCAGCTACTTGGGAGGCTGAGGCAGGATAATCGCTTGAACCTGGGAAGCGGAGGTTGCAGTGAGCTGAGATCGCACCACCGCACTCCAGCCTGGGTGACAGAGCGAGACTCTTGTCTCAAATAAAATAGAATAGATTAGAATAGAATAGAATAGAATAGAATAGAATAGAATAGAATAGAATAGAATAGAATAGAATAGAATAGAATAGAATAGAAAATAAAATGAAATATGGTGGGAGTAGGATGGGCCTGTAACAACAAAGTGTCTTATTGGCAAAATGTGGAAAACCCACGTGTAGCACAAAAAGCAGGATGCTTGGAAGGATTGCAGCCACCAGAGTTCTGTGTTCAGGAACTCCAGAGGCTTGGAGAATCATGTAATAAGAAGTTGAGAAGTAAGTCACTGTGGGAAAAAAGTCTTGGCTGTGTCTACTGCTGTACTCCTGATCTAGGGATGTGGCCTGTTCAGTTCATTACAGAACCAGGATAAGAGCAGCTGAGACTTTTCTCATACCTTTTTCAGATAAAAATGAAGATGGTAATAAACAGAGCAATTAAACCGATTATAATTACATATGCACAGTGGGGATTTGGGGGATGAGGAGATCATTGTCCATGTAAGTAATTAATGGTGAGGCATAGAATTTCGCACTAGGTGGGGTTTTCCAAACAGGTTGAGAACAGGAAGTCAGGAGCAATGCACTGGCAAGTATTCAAGATCTTTAGGGACCAGAGGTGGACTCCGACCTTTTAAAAACTGGAATTCCCCACAGTTTGGGTTTCAGTGTATTAGGAAAGAGGTCAGCCCAACTGTGTCCTTCCATAGCTGCATAATTCATAATGTCGTAAAGTAAATATTTTTTTCCTCTCAAATTTCCTCAGAGGCAGTTGGATTTTATCCGTTTCAGAGTTGAGTCTTACTGTGGAAAGATTTGATTAAAATGAGGAAAACGGTCAGGAGTTTGAGACCAGCCTGGCCACCATGGCAAAACCCTGTCTCTACTAAAAATACAAAAATTAGCCAGGCATGGTGGCGCTCGCCTAGAATCGCAGCTACCTGGGAGGCTGAGGCAGGAGAATCGCTTGAACCGTGGAGGCAGAGGTTGCAGTGAGCCAAGATCATGCCACTGCACTCCAGCCTGGGCAACAGAGTGAGACTCCATCTCAAATAAAACAAAATAAAATAAAATAAGGAAAATTTTGGCTTTTACGCGTTGACTGTCTTTTTGCAGTTGTCTGATCCTGCACACTTGCCGCACTTCCGTCTAGTTCATATTCTCACGTCGACAATATTTACTGAGCACCTACGACACGGAGGCAAGAGCTGCCTTTGACTGTAGGCTTTGGCACCATCACTTACACACTGCATGATGTTAGGCAGTTTCCTACCTTTGCTATGCCTCCGTTTTTTCCATCTATAAAATGGGGCTAATGACATTCTTCTCACTGAGTTATCGTGAGGATTAAATGAATTAATACACATAAAGCACTCAGGACAGTGCCTGGTAGAAAGCAAAGACACATTAAGCAGTGACTGCTCTCACTCACCAAACTGTTTCCCTGTGCCAGGTGCTGCTGTCCTGAGGACTTTCAGTGAATTAACTCATTTAATTAGGACAGGACCCTGTGAGGTAGGTATGATTATTACCCCATTTTGCAGATGGTAAAACTGAGGCTTAGAGCTGGAAAGTGATGCTCTGGTTATTGTAAAGACTAATAGAGATGATGAAAGACCTAATAAAATACAAATTACCATTGTGGTATAATAAAAAATAAATATTTGGTCTCTGTACCCAGTTCCTGGTACAGGGCTCCTGTCTTCTGTATGCTAGTAAGATTGGCTCATAAGATCGTTAAGGGAGGCTCCAGGTAGCTTGGGGGTGGGGGCTGGTCACCAGAAGGACCAAGATGTAATTAGAGGGTTGGGAGTTTCAATCCCACTCCCTGACCTCCAGGGAGGGCAGGGGGCCTACGGATTGAATCCATCACTCATGGCCAATGATTTAACCAACCACGCCTATGTAATGAAACTCCAATAAAACCCCTAATGGACAGGCTTTGGAGAGCTTCCAAGTGGGTGAACCCATGGAGGTCCTTGCAAGGGGGTGTACCCAGAAAGGGCCTAGCAGCTCCACGCCCTCCCGCATGCCCTGCCCAGTGCACCTCTTCCATTTGGCTGCTTCTTTATAATAAACTGGTAAACATAAGCAAAGCCTTTCCCTGAGTTCTGCAAGTCATTCTAGCAAATGACTGAAACTGAGGAGGGGATGTGGGACCCCCTAATTTATTGCCATTTTGAAGTACAGGAGGCCCAGGCTTGCCACTGGCAGTCTTGTGTCCTGAGCCCTTTACTTGGGGGATCTGACACTGATTCCAGATAGAAGGTGTCAGGATTGCAAAGGCATTGTTGGACACCCGGCTGGTGTCAGAGAATTGTAGAATCGGGAAGTATTTAATAGCCTAACCAAAATGCAGTATCTAGCCTTTCGATGCTCTCTTTCTCTGTGCTTTAACTGATTTTTTATCTTTTCCACCTTGGGGCAGCCTCTCCTTACCGAGTATCACACCCTGTCCCTTCTCTGAAGCTACACTCCCAGGTCATGCTTATATGCTCAGCCACAGGAATATTCCAACCGTATCTCTAATGTTCATCCTGGGGTTTAGATCTATCTTAGCATTCTTGAGAGTATCTATGGCACAGCCCTGCCAGGTGTCCTGAAAATAATTCCAAAGGAGGAGAGAATCACGTTCCATAAGAGAAAACCAAGGACGCCGGGGTGAGCGCAAGGATAAGCCTGCCACTCAGCTTGTTCTCTGTACTCTGTCCCGTTGGTGCCCACTTGGATTGCAGGAAGAGGAGCTGGAAATGAAATGCTCAGAACACAGAGAAGAGCTGCTTCCCTGAAACCTCCATGGTTGACACTGGCAGATTCAGCAGCCTGGGGAGCAGCAGTGACAGGTGACAGGCTCTTTCATGGCAGGGTTGGCCCTGGGAGAGAGAGGTGAGACTGCAGTTCTAGTGTCCCGTGGGCAGCCTAGTCTGGCACAGAGCACTAGCAGCTTTCATGGCACCTCGGCAGCCTATGCAGTAAGCGTCTCTTCAGGAAAGGGCCCTGAGCAGGGCAGGAGGAGATCGCAGATGCCAGGTAGCTGCTGAGAGATCCACGGCATTGCATTTGCATGGCATCCTGAATTGAATAGTGTCTCACCCTCAATTAATGTCCTTCCCAGAATCTCAGAATGTGAGCTTATTTGGGAATAGGGTGGTTGCAGATGTAATTAAGGTAACATGAGGTCACACTGGAGTAGGGTAAGCCCTTAATGCAGTATAGCTGGTATTCTTGTAAGAGGAGACTCAGAGACAGACACAGAGAGAAGAACACCATGGGCCAATGGAAGCAGGGATGGCAGTGAAGTGTCTACAAGCCAATGGATGCCAAGTATGCCTGGCAACCACCAGAACTAGGAGAGGGGCATGGAACACACTCTCCCTTGAGGTCTCCAGAGGGAACTAACCCTGAGGAGACCTTGACTTTCGACTTTCAGCCTCCAGAACTGTGAAAGAATAAATTTCTGTTGTCTTAAACTACCTGGTTTGCAGTGTTTTGTTATGGCAGCCACAAGAAGCTCATACACACAGCTGTATCTGTCTGCTTTGCATTGCTATAAAGGAGTACCTGAAGCTGGGTAATTTATAAAGAAAAGAGGTTTATTTGGCTTACAGTTTTGCAGGCTGTACAAGCATGGCATCAGCATCTGCTTGGCTTCTAGTGAGGCCTCAGGAAGCTTTTACTCATGGCAGAAAAGAAGGGGAGCCAGCATGACATGGCAAGAGAGGAAGCAAGAGAGTGGGGAGGAGGTGCCAGGCTCTTTTCTTTTTGTTTTTTGAGACAGAGTCTCACTCTGGTCACCCAGGCTGGAGCACAATGGCACAGTCTTGGCTCACTGCAACCTCCGCCTCCCAGGTTCAAGTGATTCTCCGGCCTCAGCCTCCCGAGTAGCTGGGATTTCAGGTGCTCACCACCATAACTGGCTATTTTTTTTTCTGTATTTTTAGTAGAGATGAGGTTTCACCATGTTGGTCAGGCTGGTCTTGAACTCCTGACCTCAAGTGATCCAACCACCTCGGCTTCCCAAAGTGCTGGGATTATAGGTATGAGCCACTGCGCTCAGCCACCAGGCTCTTTTTTAACACTCAGATCTTGCCGTAACTCATAGAGTGATAACTCATTCTTTACTGCAAGGAGGGTGCCAAGCCATGCATGAGGGATTTATCCCCACAACCCGAACATCTCTCACCAGTCCCCATCTCCAACACTGCGGATCATATTTCAATAAGAGATTTGAAGGGAACAAACATCCAAACCACATCCATACCTTAGACATCCTCCTAAGTGCTCCCAGACTACGTGAGCAAACGTTTTGAAGGGTTTCTACGGAGATGGTGGGGCCAGGACCACAAAAACACTGTGCAGTGATTTATTTGTTTTCTCTCTCAGGTTAATAACTGTGAGGAAAAGAGGTCATACACCTGTTGTTTCTACAGAATGGTGTATTAGCATAGACCCTTGGCACTGATCCCTGATGGTGGAGCATGGCTGATGTTCTGTGCAAAGGAGGGTGAGATCCCTGTGAGTAATTCTCCTTCCCTGTAAACAAACACCTCTCACAACATGAGGATTACGGGGCAAGGGTGTGCAGGGGGCACCTTGTGCAGCCTGAAAACCATGTTAATCTTAAAGCTTTACTATCAGCACAGCCCAGCCCTGCTGATCTACCCCCAGTGGAAGCTGGAATGCTCTCATTTTCCATGCCCTTCACCTCCCTAGAACTGAGCTTCCAATACACCTTGCCCATTTTCCCTTGCCTACCTATCCTCTGCCAACTCTGGTAAGTGCCTCACTTTACTTTCCAGGAGAACGTGGTTTTAGTTATTAATTTTTCACCCCTATTGCCTAGTAGCTGCCCATCTTTGACTTGGAAGGAAGGTTACACTTGCTTTGTTGATTGTTATGGCCCCCATCCACCTCCATCAAAAAGACCCTTGTGGCTGGGCATGGTGGCTCATGCCTATAATGAAAGTGTTTTGGGAGGCCGAGGTGAGGTAAGAGGATTGCTTGAGGGAAGGAGCTTGAGACCAGCCTGGGCAACATAGCAAGATCCCGTCTCTACAAAAAAATGAAAAAACTAGTGGATTGTGGTGGTACAGGTGTCCCAGCTACGCAGGAGGATCACCTGAGCCCAGGAGCTCCAGGCTGCAGTGAGTTATGATCACCCCACTGCACTCCAGCCTCGGCAATAGAGTGAGACCCTGTCCCTACAAAATTTTTTTTTAAAAATTAGCTAGGTACCTGCAGTTTTAGCTACTTGGGAGGGTGAGGTGGGATGATTTCTTGAGCCAAGGAATTTGAGGCTGCAGTGAGCTCTGATCGCACCACTGCACTCCAGCCTCCATGACAGAGTGAGACTCTGTCTCTTAACAAAAAAGACCCCTGTGGTTTCTCAGCACTTCTGGAGGCCCTATCTTCAGCATGCTCTGAAACAAACCACCCTGGTTCTTTGTCTCTGGCCTTTGTATCTCACTATTATGGCCTTGCCACCTCTTCTGTGGCTGCTGACCCTGGAGAGGTCACCTCCCCTGCCCCAGCACTGTGACTTTCCCAGTGTGGATTCAGGAAAACGGACGCTGCTTTTTCTCCCCTGCATGACTCTGTCCTAAGAGTCCACAGCCTTGCCCTAATTTCCCAAAACACAGCTGAGGCCAGTGGAAAAGTTTTCATATGGCTAAACTTTAGGTTCAACGATACTCCAAAAAAAAATCAAAATTTCTCTACGAGTGTGGATCCAAGCTAGAGTCTTCTACACAGCCAGCATCCTATTTGATACCTGGGCAGTGTCCACTGAACAGGGGCAGTCCACGCACACCCAGCACCCTTGAGGCTCAGAGCTCCCTGTGACTCATTGTCAGGAGAAACTGTCCCCTCCAATGCCAAGTGATATGGTTTGGCTGTGTCCCCACCCAAATCTCATCTTGAATTGTAGCTCCCATAATCCCCACATGTTGTGGGAGGGACCTCGTGGGAGGTAACTGAATCGTGGGGGCAGGGTTTTCCCCTGCTGTTCTTGTGATAGTAAGTCTCATGAGATCTGATGGTTTTATAAAGGGCAGTTTTTGCTTTTGCCTGCCACCATGTAAGATGTGACTTTGCTCCTCCTTTGCCTTCCTCCATGATTGTGAGGACTTTCCAGCCACATGGAACTGTGAGTCCATTAAACCTCTCTCCTTTATAAATTACCCAGTCTCAGGTATGTCCTTATAGCAGTGTGAGAATGGACGCAAGAGAAGAAGTTTACTCCCCACCTGTATCTCAAAGCCACTTTGCTGGATCTTCAATTTTTGCCTTTCCCCAGGAAGATGGGAGGTGAGAGCACTGAAGTACTTCAGAGAAGATCCCAGGTCTATATACTCTGGACCTCTGTCCCCAGTACTCAACCTCAGTCACTTTGTTAATAAAATTAATGAATAGATCAATGTTCCATCTTCTTCCAAAGGAGATTCAAGGAACTGAGGTTTTCAGGTTACTCTGTATGGATATGCTTTGGTGGATCTGGTCTTTCCAGACGCAGTCTTCATCCTCACGTCTTTATGATGTTTCCCATCAAGGCAGTAAGATGTGCAATAATAGAAGGTAAGGCTTGTGTTTCCTCTCTTCTGACTTCCCTGCACTCTATCCCTATGCTGATCTAGCTACACACACACACACACACACACAAACACACACACACACACACACACACACACACACACACTCAAGACCTAAGACAGTGAATTGCACATAGCACAAACTATACGATCACTAGATTTATTTTCTCACAAGGATTCTGAACAACTGAAAGGTTAAAAACTGTACATTATGCCTGCCCTCAGGTTACAGATATTTGCTCTTTTCAGTTTTAAAACACCAACTTTATTTCTTTTATGTAATTGAAAATTGTTTCAACTTTTTATTTTCGTGGGTCCATAGTAGGTGTATATATTTACGGGGTACATGAGACGTTTTGATACAGGCATGCAATGTGTAATGATCACATCATGGAGAATGGGGTGTCCAACCCCTCAAGCATTTATCTTTAGTGTTATAAACAATGCAATTATAGTCTTTTCGTTATTTTAACATGTACAATGAAATTATCATTGACTATTGTCACCCCGTTGTGCTATCAAATAATAGTGGGTCTTATTAATTCTCTCTCTTTTTTTTTTGAGACGGAGTCTCGCTCTTTCGCCCAGGCCAGAGTGCAGTGGCGCGATCTCGGCTCACTGCAAGCTCCGCCTCCTGGGTTCACGTCATTCTTTTTTAGAGATGTAGTCTCACTCTGTCGCCCAGGCTGGAGTGCAATGACACAATCTTGACTTACTGCAACCTCCACCTCCCATGTTCAAGCAATTCTTCTGCCTCAGCCTCCTGAGTAGCTGGGATTACAGGCACGTGCCACCACACCTGGCTGGTTTTTGTATTTTTAGTAGAGATAGGGTTTCTCCATGTTGGCCAGGCTGGTCTTGAACTCCTGACCTCAAGTGATATGCCCGCCTCAGCCTCCTAAAGTGCTGGGATTACAGGCGTGAGCCACCGGACCTGATCTTATTCATTCTTTATAACTATGTTTTTGTGTTGATTAAACATCCCCACCTCTCCCCAACCCCCCGTGATTGAAAAAAAAATTTAAAGTTTTTTCCCCCAGTATTTCTTTAGTTGCAGCCTCTGTCCCAGCGAATGACTTCCTTGGACCTCTGAATAAGTAGGTCTAATTCATTCTTTCTAACTATATTTTTTTGTACCCATTAAACATCCTCACTTCCCCCCTCCACCCTCTGTAACTGAAAAAATATTTTAAGTTTTGGCCCCAGTATTTCTCCAGTCGCATCCTCTGTCCCAGCTAACTGCTTCTTTGGGCCTCTGTGGTGTGCATGGTGTTGCTTGTTTGCTACTGGCTTTCTAAACTGCTGCACACTCATCTTTCAGCCTATGGAGACCTCTCACCATCTGCCGCGGCTCTTTCATGTGCAAATAGTCAGGCATTTCACATCCAAGCTCTTTGCTGCTTCTTTGTTTCTTCTAGGGAGAGAAACGAGCTTGTGTTATAGTTCTTGTTCTCTGTCATTCATAAATTTGAAAAATAAATAAATAAAAGGTATTGCTGGTGAGATATTTGGAAAAATTCTTGTTCCTGGCATCTCCCCAATTAACAAGTGAGTCTTTTGTGGCTCTCTTTAGCCTTGCGAGGTCTGGCAGGCTATGTTTTTCTCACAAAACCTTGAAGCCTGAGTCAGTGGCAATGTTCTGTATCTCTTCTGGCTTGTCACAGCTGAGCAACACATGAGAAAAATGCTAGTCTTCTTCACTCAGGCTTAGGAATGAGGCCTCAAAGGGTTTTGCAATTGAAGGCATTTTGCTTATGGGTCAGCGGATGTTATGTAATGTAATATTGTCAATATAGTTCCTAGGCTCTTAATTATTTGCCTCTTGGTTGTGGCAACACAAACAGAGAACACACAGTCACCTGACTACTCAAATTCCAATAAATACAGGAACATGATTCATTCAAGAAAAGCAATAAAAGAGAGACTTCCCCCCCATTCAGCATAAGCTGAATATAGTATCTTCACACATCGTCTTTACCCTAGAGCTGGGGTTATAGGATTAGGTCATGTTGACAAACACAACAAAATAATACCAGGCTCCATGGCTATTTTGTTACTGCTTCAATTCAAGAAATTTCAAGGAAAAGGCAACATGAGTCAAGCAAGACAAAAGTCAACGCATGCTGCAGCCAGTTTTGAAACCAAAGGCCTCCCTTCCTATCTACTGTGTGAATTTATAATCTTTTTTTTTTTTTCGAGATGGAGATTCACACTTGTTGCCCAGGCTGGAATGCAATGGCGCGATCTCTGCTCACCACAACCTCCGCCTCCTGGGTTCAAGAGATTCTCCAGCCTCAGCCTCCCAAGTAGCTGGGATTACAGGCAGGGGCCACCCTGCCCGGCTAATTTTGTATTTTTAGTAGAGATGGGGTTTCACCATGTTGGTCAGGCTGGTCTCAAACTCCTGACCTCAGGTGATCCACCCATCTTGGCCTCACAAAGTGCTGGGATTACAAGCGTGAGCCACAACACCTGGCCTACAATCTTAACGCTCACTGGTTGTGTCGGTTTCTCTTGGAGCCAAATTCAGTTTGCGTGTCTGCGTCAGTGGACAAGATTTTGTTTGAAATAACAAAACTCACTCAGAAATAAAAAGAGAGCTCTGGTCAGGAAGTAATATATAGTTACATGCAAGTAAAACCATTCATTAATTCCCACCCAGGCCTTCCAGGGACACAGGCATAGATGTGTGTGTTTTCTGGTTCCTCCAATGAGTAGAACTGGAGAGAAATGATTAGGAAAGTCCAGGCTTGGTTGAAGGAGGTGATAGTCCCCAAATGCTAGCTTCCCAAACCCATAGGGACAAGAAAGCCGAGGGGATTTGGGCTATCTTTATACTGAATTCATCCTCCCATAAAATTCATTTAGGGTCAATCTGAAGTTTGAGTTACACACCTATTGCTTTTTTTCAAAGATAAATTATCATTTGCTACATGTTTGAGATGCATATTTTACTTTCAAAATATTCATTTCTCATCCTAGAATTTTTTTCCCAATTACCTTTTAGGTACGTTGTCTAGTCTAGATCAACAAACCACTGGCAGGCAATGGGAGAGTCTGGGAGAGAAGAAATGTAAATGATGTTTTTTAAATAACATCCATGTTACCATTCATATGCAAGACTCCATTTTCCATAGTGTGGTAAAAACTAGAAAAAAATGACCACATTTCGTAAGAAGGATAAAGATAGAAATTCACTGTTGACTGGGAACCTGATCTAGGGAGGCACAGATTGGATTCTCAAGGTCCTTTCTCTGCTTCTTACATGACCAGAGGGAGGTTGGCTGGTGGAAACACTGAACACATCCCTGTAGGGTGGTCCTTGAGGTTACATGAGGCCCTTTGGTGGAAGACCATATGCCACAGGGTCCCGGTGACTACAGGGTCTCCAAAGAGCTGATTGGCTGGGCATGATTACACATATCCACCTGCTAAATCGTAGCTCCAAATGCAACATCCAGCACTCAGAGGCCACATGTGGACTTCTAGGTCACCTTGATCACGCATAGTATCTACCCTTGGTTTAGAAGGTGGTGGGATGATCAAGGGAAAAATGCCCTGGTCAAACTAAAAATGATTTTCATTGTCAAGACAATGACAATGCATTTGGATATAACTGAGGAGAAAACAAAAAAAAATGCAAAGCATACCTTCTTTATCCAGCCATTTTGATGAAAAAACAGTGAAAAGACAAAGAGCTTACTCCAAATCATATGAGAATTGAAAGGGAGTGCCAACCTGGTCCAAACTGAATTCAGCTCTGTGAATGTCATTGTGAAGTCTAATATTTGTATGTAAATAAAATCACGTGGTTACTGTAACTCCTCCCTCCTCTGGAATTCCAGTGCTGTTACCTCCTAAATGAAGAATAATGTACAGGCTAGAGGTAGGATGTCTTAGAGACTATCTGCTCCTTCAATACAATTCCTGTATTGAATCCCCAACCACCAGCATGGCAATATCTGGAGAGGGTGCCTCTAAGGATGTAATTAAAAATAAATAATATCATATGGGTGAGGCCCTGATTGGATAGGATTAGTGTGCTTACAAGAAGAGATGTCAGAGAGCCCTCTCTCTTTCTCTCTCTTTCTCTCCATGTGTGAACTGAGGAAAGGCTATGTGAGCAGACAGCGAGAAGGTGGCCACCTTAAGCAAGGAAGAGAGCTCTCACTGGGAAGTGGGTAAGTGGGAACATTGACCTTGAACTCCCCAGCATCCAGAACTGTGAGAAATACATTTCTACTGTTTAGGCCACCCAGTCTGCTTTATTTTGTTATAGCAGCCTCAGCAGACTAACACACCATTCCTCTGCCTGTTCAGTTGTTTGACTCAATAACGGAAGCTTCTCACGAGCATCTCAAAATTGTTCTCCATCCTCCTCTAATCAATAAGCAGGATCTGACAATTGTTTGAAATCAAGCAATGATATCCTTTGAGTAGTCAAAATAGCTATCACATATTTTGTATTTTCTATGTGCCAGGCACCCTTCCAGGTATGAATGTATTTGATAATTACAACAATCCTATGAACTAGATGCTATTATTACACCATTTTATAGAAAAGGAAACCGAGGCATAGTGGTGCTAACTCGCTAACTCAACTAGTAAGTGTGGGGAGAAGGATTCTAACTCATGCAGTCTAGTTCCACAGTCTATACCTTTAACTACTCTATCTCTAAGTTTAAGCAGTAGCTGGCGTTTATTGCATCCTCCTTTTGAGCCCGACGTTAAATATTATATGTCAATTCACTTATTTAATTATCACATACAATACTTTCCATTTTCTGTAGTGTGGCAAAAACCAGAAAAAAATGACTACATTTCATAAGAAGGATAAAGATAGAAATTCACTGTTGACTGGGAACCTAGTCTAGGGAGGCACAGATTGGATTCTCATGGTCCATTCTTTGCTTCTTACACAACCAGCGGGAGGTTGGCTGGTGGGAACACTGAACACATCCTTGTAGGGGATATCAACTCTATGAAATAGGTACTATTATTACAATCCTGTTTTGCATAAGAGAAAAATGGAAGCACAGAGAGGTGAGTAATGTACTTAAGGGCATCTAAGGTGACCACTTTTACAAGTGGACTACTTGGGAAGCCAGCCAGGCACTCTTGCTTCGAAGCCTGCCCTCTTCAGTAGAAGGCATTTTCATGTTCAAAGACAAGCACTGGGCCTATTTTATTTCTGCTTCTACTTTGAACCTCAAGCAAAGTGCTTTCAACATTGGAAAAATCAATAATATGTGTCAAATGCCTCATTTTCAAAAGATAAGGTACGCAAATCATTTCCATATATGGGAATTTGGTGGGTGATCAAGGCAACATTCTCCAATTAATGGGAAGAAGATGGATTATTTGATTCATGTTTTCTGGGACAAATGGCTGGCCACTTATATAGAGAGGAAATACAGATGAATCTTTTCTGATCTTTGGGTCCCCATGGACTTCTAAGCATAATAACAAAGCCAAAAATAATATAAAAAAATTAAAATTCTGTATGGCAAAACCTACCATGAGTAATGTTAATAGACTGACTCACTAGTGGAAAGATTAGCAACAGCTTTGATTTTTATGTATAAGATTTCCTTTTCCTAATATACTCAGAGCACTTACAAACCAATAAGGAAAAAAAAATGACCAAAGGGCAGAGGATATAATCAAGTAGTTTTACAAAACAAGAGCCAAAATCGCCAACATTTTGGCTATAAATGTGCAATATTTAAAAGCACATTCTGGCTATAAATATGCAATATTTAAAAGCACATTTAGGCCGGGCGTAGTGGCTTATGCCTTTAATTCCACAATTTGGAGGCCGAAGCGGGTGGACTACCTGAGGTCAGGAGTTCAAGACCAGCTTGATCAACATGGGTGTTGATCAACCCCGTCTCTACTAAAAATACAAAAATTATCCAGGTGTGGTGATGTGCACCTGCAATCCCAGCTACTTGGGAGGCAGAGGCAGGAGAATCACTTGAACCCGGAGGCGGAGGTTGCAATGAGCCAAGATTCCAGTCTGAGCGACAGAGTGAGACTCCATCTCAAAAAAGGCACATTTAACGAATGGAAAATATAAAAATAAGCTGTCATTTTAAATATATTATTGATTATCAAAGGGTAGAAAACCAGGTGCTCATGACGTAAACCTAAGTGGGTACAATCTTTCCAGAGACTAGTTTGTCAATTTCCTCCCTATCCTGAGACTTTTCTATCTAATAGATCACTGATTTCTGATTTCTGTTCAGTGTCTAGCCCATTCTGGCTAAATGAAACAAGGGGGATTGGCAGGGAGCTTATGGGAAACGTTGTCCTTATGATAAAAAGAGATGCATAGGAGGAAATACCCCTTTTCTTCCCATGGGCATTGTCACGTGGTACCTGGAACTATGACACCACTTAGTGACCATGAAGCCCAAGCCAATACGTTGAAGATACCATATGAGCCACAGGAGAAAAGACTTTATGTTTGGTGACATTACTGAGTTGCTGACTTAGGACTACAATGCCCCAACTTCCAAAATCTTGTTATGTGACAGTCAATTCCTTACTTACAAAATTTCTTTAATTGGATCTCTTGTTCCTTGCAGCTAAAGGAATTCTGACAAAATAAATCAAAACTCAAAATGTGCATACCCTTGGAACACAAAATGTAATTTCTAGAGCTCTGACTCAAGGAAATATTCAGACAAGTAAACAGAGGTATATATAACATGCTATTTATAGTACTGAAAAACTACAAAGCCATGTAAATGCCCTTCAAAAAGAAGTTGGTTAAATACGTGGTTAAGTATTTCACTGTTACAGAGCCAATAAGATGTGATATGGATTAATATTTACAGACAGAAATGTTTATTTGAGGTCTATCGTTTAGGGGGAAAAAGAAGATTACAAAAGGGCACATACAGGTAGGATTACATTTATGTAAAATTTTGTGTATCTGATTACAGAGCTGCACGGAAGGCTATTCTCCAAGTTGGGAGTGGGGTGGGATTGATCAGCCATGGACGTGTAGAAAGGAAACTCCCAGAGATAAACATAGTCAGGGGCTTTGTGGCCAATGCTGAAGGGAAAGAAAGTCTTAGCCATTGAACTTCAAGCATGTTTATACTAATGGTGAAACCGACTCTAAGAAAGCAATACAAATAAGGCGTTGTAACCAACGAGCTTCAAGTATTTCTGGTCTCATTGGCAAGACCATCTCTTGTGAGACAGTGCATCCCTCTAAGTAGGTGTCATTTGTTTTCATTTGGATGCCTTCAGCTGCAAGTTACAGAATTCCCGACTTTCAACTGTGAGGGAATTATCTCACATAACTGAAGTCCTGAGTCAGAGTGGACTTCAGGTGTGATTGATTCAAGTGCCACTGATTCATCAAAGACCCAGTCCTGGCCAGGCACAGTGGCTCACGTGTGTAATTCCAGCACTTTGGGAGGTTGCAGTGAGATCATGCCATTGCACTCCAGTGAAAGGGGAAGATACATGGATGGTGGGTGGGCAACCTACAGTGTCCATTAATCCACACCAGTTGTCATTTTATTCCTCCGGCTCTCATGTTTTAAATCCTAGTGGTTTTGCCTATAGAGACAAAATGTGCTGATCCTATCGACGTTGAATGTTTCCTGTTTCATTGACAGTGCTTCTCATGATAACTCCAATTACACAACTTAGCTATGACTTACGAAACACTTAATATGGGCCAGACATGATATTAAGAGCTTTACACTTAAGAAGCAGAGAACGTATTTTGCAGACATGACTATTTCTATTGCAAGGAATAAATCTGCTTTTTTTTTTCTTTTTAAGATTAACAGTATGTTGGTGCCCAGCTCAGACTCCCAGAAGTTATGTTTAGTGCGTGTTCGGTTCCAGCTTGAATGACTCCCAGATGTTGATGAGAGTCAGTCTCCGACTCTTCAAAAGAGGCAAGATTCAGATTCTTCCTCTAGCTTCAGCCCTGATTTGGCTCATCGAAATGAGCCAGACATTTGCTGTGCCATTTACATTTATTATGTTATTGTTCTCTTGGCAACACTAAGATGAATTTTATTATCTCTGAATATTTTATAGAAAATTGAGGTTCAGAGAGTTCAAGGAACATAGCCCAAATTAAAGAGCTGGAAAGTGTGATAAAAACCTGAGTTCTTACATTATTTTACCTTTTCTCATTAAAAAAAAAAAGTCATATACTTGAATTGTACAACTTTAGACATACTCTTTGTAATTCTGTTGAAACCCACTAGGGTTCAACTGGATGTCGGGCACACAGTTATCTCTTAATAACTATCTGGCTATTATCCAATCAAGGAAGGATAGACAGGGGATCACCGTTTTAAACCACACAATCTTGTACGTGGATTTAGCTAACTCCCATCTGGTATGCATTCTAAACTCCTTAGGATTTCTATCTGCCTCAGTAAGAAAGATACCACAGTCAAAACATGCGAATTAACTCTACTTGTTATATATGTGTCACTAAAAAACCGCCCCAGGAGTTTTCAGCTCACTAAAAATTAAGAATCTGAAAATAGAAATTTTACAGCTTCCCTGAGACTTCTGAGCCCTACTGAACGGTTCAAAAGCTTAAGAGCAGCATTATGTCAACCAGGGATTTGAAAAATCAAGTCATGTTCTTCCCGCTCCTTAAGTCAATACCAAGGGTAAAGATTTTGCAATCAGAAGCTCACTAGCAATTTTGCTGGGAAGTGCTCACCAATGGAATTCCACTTAATTCCTCCCCAGCTGGGTGGGAGCTACAGCCCAACAGTGGCCAAGTGTGTTGCCCTTGCAAAATGTGACTCAGAAGCATTCAAAGAGCTGAGATACTGAGGTCCTGAAAATAGGCTATTTTTATATTGATGTTTTCCGTAACTACAGCCTTGCTGAAAGAATGCATGTGTTCCCAGTTGCACTTTTCCTTCTGTAGTGCTTTTAAATTACATGTCGTTAAGGCCACTTCCAGTAGTCTCAGAAATATTTCTCCTTGTAAAACAGTGCCCTGTGAAAACTACCATCAAATTCTTCCACTCCACATTGCCGTGGCCACCTGAGGGGAAGGCTTTGGGAAAGAATAAATGCTTATTCTTGGGAAATTCTGATTCCTTCTGCGTGAACTTTTCCAGGCTCTATGCTGATTCTCATTACTCTGGTCCTCCTGGTGAACTTCAGCAGTGTATTCTGCTTATTTTTTTATTTATTTATTTTGAGGCAGAGTCTTGCTCCATCGTCTAGGCTGGAGTACAGTGGCGCGATCTCGGCTCACTGCAACCTCTGCCTCCTGGGTTCAGGTGATTCTCCTGCCTCAGCCTCCTGAGTACCTGGGACTACAGGTGCTCACCATCACACTCAGCTATTGTTTGTATTTTTAGTAGAGACAGGGTTTGACTGTGTTGGCCAGGATGGTCTTGAACTCTTGATCTCAGGTGATCCACCTGCTTTGACCTCCCAAAGTGCTGGGAGTAAAGGTGTGAGCCACCGCGCCCAGCCCTCTCTGCTTATTTTTAACAGCGAAGCAATGGATCATTCATTGAAATGGCAGCAGAGGCAATATTAGAATGCAAAACTGCAGTGGTAATACTATATTAGAGTGTTGCCACCACACATTTATTGACTACCATACTGTTTTTAAGCATTTCAACGTATACTACTGAATTTGAGTGGTAGGGAGTGCCAAATCCATGTTGTGGGCTCGTGGGGTCCTTCTTCACACCCACTATTGACGACCATTATATCAGCAACAGGAGGAAACAGATAGAGAATAGCCTCGCCTAATTCATTCATTGGGACTTTTTTTTTCCTTCTTTTTTGAGAGATGGAGGATCTCGCTCTGTCACCCAGGCTGGAGTGCAGTAGCACGATCTCAGCTCACTGCAACCTCTGCCTCCTGGGTTGAAGCAATTCTCATGCCTCAGCCTCCCGAGTAGCTGGGACTACAGGCATTCGCCACCATACCTGGATAATTTTTTGTATTTTTAGTAGAGACAGGGTTTCACCATGTTCGCCAGGCTGGTTTCAAACTCCTGAACTCAGGTGATCTGCCTTGGCCTCCCAAAGTGCTGGGCTTGCAGATGTGAGCCACCATACCCGGCCCTAATTCAGTGGAACTTTGTCTTTCCAGTTCTCCTTTGAGGTAGCATCCAGGTGGTGGTCACAGGGCAGCCTCCTCCAATTCCCCACTGAAATATCTAAGACCCAGAAATCACTCACTCAAGCCCTGAAAACTTGAGTAAAATCTCACTCAAGCCCCCAAAACTAAAATATCGAGAAACAGAGTTTAGAGAAATGTCCCCATCAGAAGGGCTGATGTAACCAAAATTAAATAAACCGTGGCCCAATCATGCTTAATTTTATAAAACAAAGAAGCCCCACTCTCATGAAAGAAGACAGGAACACACTTTGTTGCTCCCCTGTGTGTCCCTGGCTGAATGATTCAGGGTCTGAACAAACCAAGAATAAACCAGGAAAGGGGGTCACAGCATTCTTCTCTGCATGTAGCAGGTTGGAGATACCCGGGGTCCTAGCCCCCTGTTATCCTTGCTGACATCATTCTACTGCCATCAGCAAACTACAACTTCCAGAAAACAACGTATGAGGAAGTATGAAGTGGGGGTATGTATTTGTGTGTGTGTGTGTGTGTGTGTGTGTGTGTGTGTCGGTAGGGGGAGTGGGATGAGGATAGAGAATGGTGGTAGCTCAGTGCCTGCAGTATATCCTTTGGACGTGAAATATAATAGCAGCACATAGAAGGGAACAAATATTCAGAAACACTCCATTGATTCAGAGTTGCAGAAAGCTGGGCACCTGAGGAGGAGATCCACCTTAGTATGTAGAGCTGCACCAGGAGTTGGCCAGAAGCTATTTACTGTCACCTGCTGCCAAACCAAAGTCACGTACTTCCTCTGACAACTTCCTCTTGGTGGGGGGTGTGGGGGGTGGTCCCTGTTGTCCACACAGGGAAGGGGTGGGTATGGATCTGTTTCCTCAGTTCAGTGCCATAAGATCAGGAACCTGGCTGATTGTAGCTTAGGTAGGCATTTAATATTTGTTGAAGAAACAAGCAAATGCTTTGAATCTGGATAGAGAGAATGAGTAGGGAAGATAAAGAGTGTGAAGTTGTATGTGTGTGTGTGTATGTGTGCATGCGCTGGAAGTGGGATGAGAACTGTGTAAAGTGTACACAGAAGAACAAGAAAAGGGAACACACAGCATCCAAAGAATTCAGACCTGGAGCCTACGCCTGTGTGCCGCACTCTGAATTCATGGCGAAAAGCCTCCCAAAGGACTAAGAAGGTCAAAGCAGATTGAAAAGAGATGCAGGATCGACAATGGCAATAAAAGTCATGAAGCTTTATGTAGCAAATAACCTAGCATAAAAATCTGCAAAGCAAAACGTATCAAAAAAAAGAAAGAGAAATTGAGGGGAAAATGATCGTTATTGTTATGAGAGACTTAAATGGACTTCTTTCCGTTCCGACTAATGGAATAGACAAAACCCAGTAATAATGTCGAAAAATGTTAACTATCATGAGGTATTATCAGTAGACGCACATTTAACCTTCTATCCTTCAAGAAACAAACTCTTTCATGAGAGCTCATACACAAACTTGCAATGGAATAAGTCAAATAGAAAATATTAATATGTCTCGGCTAGGTGCAGTGGCTCACGCCTGTAATCCCAGCACTTTGGGAGGCCGAGGTGGGTGGATCATGAGGTCAGGAATTCGAGACCAGCCTGGCCAACATGGTGAAACCCCGTCTCTAATAAAAATACAAAAATTAGCTGGGCGTGGTGGCGGGTGCCTGTAATCCAAGCTACTCGGGAGGCTGAGGCAGGAGAATCGCTTGAACCCAGGAGGTAGGGGCTGCAGTGAGCCGAGACCATGCCATTGCACTCCAGCCTGGGCGACAGAGAGAGAGACTCCCTCTCAAAAAAAAATTAGTATGTCTCATTGATATTAATGACAAGTATTTAGACAATAACAACCAGTATAGAGGGGAACAGGAAAGATTTATTATAACAACACTTAAAGGAAAAGAAAGCTAAACATAGAACAATCGGTCAGCTTTATTTATGACAGCAGAACTAGGAAATAGCATCAATATATCAGGTCCCTTGCCCACTGCCTTATTAATAACACTGTCATGAGGCCGGGCGCAGTGGCTCACACTTGTAATCCCAGCACTTTGGGAGGCCGAGGCGGGCGGATCACGAGGTCAGGAGTTCAAGACCAGCCTGGCCAATATGGTGAAACTCCATCTCTACTAAAAATACAAAACTTAGCTGGGCGTGGTGGTGCATGCCCGTAGTCCCAGCTACTCGGGAGGCTGAGGCAGAAGAATTCCTTGAACCTGGGAGGTGGAGGTTGCAGTGAGCAGAGATTGTGCAACTGCACTCCAGCCTGGGTAACAGAGCGAGACTCCGTCTCAAAACAAAAACAAAAAACAAACAAAAAACCAAAAACACTGTCATGAACACACACCCAAATGTATATACACAAACAGAGTCATTTCAGTAGCATTAGTAGCAGTAGAAGTACCAGGGCTATTTCTAGGCATCAAAAATAACTAGCATAGTAAGACAACTAGCACTGGATAAGTCTTCCTCCACTCCAAATAGCTTCTCCATCAAAATGCCATTCTATCTGAAATTCCACCAGTAGAAGTGTATTTTATTAAATTAATCAATGTGCTTTCTGGGATCATCTTTCAAAGTATAAATATTTCGGAGAGCAGTAACATCTTCAAACACTAACATCTTAGCAGGAATTATGGATTATGCTATGAAGTCAATCTTTTCCAGGCTCAGAGCCAGGCTGGGGGCGCAGGGGTTGGGGCAGAGGCTCAGCTGGTATCAGTAGGTAGGAAGAGGCACCATCTCTCTGACAGCTTCTCTGGGTTGTGATTGTATCACATATCTGAACAGAGTGTTTAGGAGAGTGAAATGGTTATGCCTAAGAACTGCTAATACATATCAGATCCCCAATATATATTTGCTTTCCTGTGAATTGCATATTTTATAATCTAAGTGTGAAGTAGAAAGATTCTAGTTCAATAAAGCTTTGATTACTTTTAAGCTAGTAAATATTTATACTGCTGTATTTTGTTCATTACGTTTGAATTTAAACCTAACTTTGGACTGTATTAAGTAGTTGTACTTGGAGTTCTTAGCCTTGGTATCTGAAAAAGGTTATGGGGATTGGGAGGAAACTTCTCCTTTCCTCAGTGAAATTAATTAAATTCTACAGAAACAAACTTTACATTTGACATCACTTACATATGTGTGAGTTCAAAGTTCCCACACATATGTCATCATAGAGTGCTGTGTAGAAGCCAAACTCAAGATATTCACATATTAAGACACTTACTATATTAGGTTTAATTGGAGTAGTTTCCTGTTTGTTTGTTTTTTTCCACTTAGGCTAAGTGAGATGAAGGAAGAAAGCTGTCTTATTTAGTGAGTTCATTCTCTCTCTCTCTTTCTCCCTCCCTCCCTCCCTCTCCCTCTCTTTCTCTCTCCCTCCCTCCCTCTCCCTCTCTTTCTCTCTCTTAAATACGTCTCGAATGTTTTGTGGGTATATTCTTCACTCATGTTCAATGCATCATTTTTGTTTTCTGTCCTCAGTGGCTCTCTTGTTTCCAACACCTCCATCCCCACCCCCAATACCAGCTTCTGCCCCCAGGGTAGGAAGAGGGTAGATTTGGTGATTCACTTTTTAGGGAAATATCATTGGCCTTCTGTGTTATATTCTCAGGATGTTAAGTAGTTTGGCTAAGTCAGTGTTGGACTTGTGACTTGGGTCATGTGAATTTTATTTCTTGGTCTGCCACTAATTCATATGGTGATAGACTATGTTATTGAACTGCCATACCTCAATATACACAGCTATAAAAAATGACAGTAGCCATGGCACGTTTCAATCAAATGACCATCTCTGTCAACACAATGGGTCCTACGCAGCATAGGTGCTTGCCTTAGAGATGGACTCCTTGGATTTCTTCATGGAAGCTTGTGTACATATGCATATTTGGGGGTCAGGGAGAGGGCTCATAAGTTTGATAAGAGTTCACTGTGACCTGTGTGCCTTGGGGCCTCAAAAATAGCTGTTCCCAAACACTGCTCTGGGGAGCCATGAAGAATTTTTCATTGATCTATGACAGCATGCAGAAAATACTGTAAGAACAATTTAAGGGGATTTCCACAAAGCTAAATTTAGTAAGCTTTAAAGACTACACTTTATTTAAAATATATATTTTCTGATTTTTCTGCTGGTTAATTTACTATTATATGATTTACTATTTACTTAATAATATGATTTACTATTATATGATACTGTTAATGTAGGTTAGTTCTCCCTGCCCCTGCCCCAGTGGCTTCCCTTAGCAAAATCTAAAAGTTAGTTTCAAAAAGCTTTTTAATAT
Organism: Homo sapiens; assembly: GCF_000001405.40. Lineage (NCBI taxonomy): Eukaryota > Metazoa > Chordata > Mammalia > Primates > Hominidae > Homo > Homo sapiens. The sequence goes on from NC_000010.11 coordinate 14,069,810, forward strand.
TTGCACGGCCCATGGAACTAAATATTTGGGAATTACAGCTTTTATAGAGAATTCTCCTGGCCCTTTATTTGCCTTTCTAACTTTTGCTGTCTGTCTTTGGCTATTTCAAGAATAATATTAAGGAAGTATTATTAAGCTGCCTCTGGGGCCAATCTGTTCAACACAAATCAATTGCCATATGCCTTAAAGAACAAGTAGATCTTCACCAGGATGTTCTTGGTGGGACAGCTTATACAGCACATTGCTGCATGTAGACTTTCTCTTCCCTCAAATCACACATTTACCAGAGCTGCTCAGTGTCTGTCTCTCTGTCCCCACACTGTCATATTGCCCCTGCATTCTCCACCTCTCTCTGAGTGCTATGACATGCCCATCCCTTGGAAGCCTCCTCATTTGGGACTCTCCACCCTGCAGGGACCCCTGTGAGGTGTAATCCAGCACCTCCTCTATCCACACTTACTGCTCTCAGCAGTCTTCCTAGAATTTTGGGAGATAAACTCTCACAAATTGTAATGTAATTTACAGCTCAGATAAGTGACACTCCAAAATGACAACCTCAACTACAATCCGCATCCTTCATCTTCATTTGTCTCCCTCCCCTCCCCAATATCTTTTGGCTATCAATATTTTATTATCGGTTTAGAAAGTCAGCCCATTGGAAAATAATTGAATGGAGGTAAAATGACCAAGGAAGGTAAGCATTGAAGAGATGGGGTATTAGAAGAGCTGGCAGAAGAAGGGACATGATGATGGAATGAGCACCTTCTGCTTTGGGTTTCAGAGACACTGGAACCCTCATTCACCTTAGGGCTCTGAAGCTTCTTTGGTCTGTTATCTATGTTGTAGTACTATTATTTGTTATATTATATTCTTTGTTATAACCACAATAGATGTTTATTTAACATCTTTCTATTAAGTGCTGGTTGTGTGCTAGACATCATGCTAGGCACTGGGATTATGACAGTGAAAAAATGCAGACATGTCACTGCAAACACTGTTCATACTGACCCTGAATCATCAGGACTGGGGAGAAAGGTATATTTAAAGATCCCTGACTTGTTTTTGACAGATTCAATGCTAAAGGAAGTTTCCATAGCCTGTTAAAAGAAGATTCAAAGATTTCAGGACACAATTGATGCATCCAATCAAAGGGAACAGATGGATTGCAAGACAAAATTCATGCCAGTGAATCTTCAGTAAGTATTCTCTGGAAAAAGGCTTAGACAGAGATCGCTGATGTACCAAGGCAAACGCCCCTTACCAGGGAAAGAACCCGGATCCCTGGACACGAGTCCTTCTTACTTTCTTGATTTGCCTTTCTGATGCCTATGTGGCTGTTCCATGCATGAAGACTTTTAGATCTCAGTTTCTCAGAAGCCAGTAAAGAGTAAATAAGATTCCAAGGCTAACTAAGTCCCCTCTGAAACTACATGCCACATTCAGAAACGACATTAATTCTCTAAGAGACCAAGATTAAATCAGGCTGGCATCTTGGATCTGCTGGGGAGGAAGTCTGTTTAATGCAATTGACCTCTAAACAGAGTTCATATTAACAGTGACCACTGTGTACATCCTGCTTTTTTAGCTGAAAGATAAACCGTATGCCCATGTTATAGAGAAGCATGAGAAAACATTGGTTTAGGATGAATTACATTTAAAAATTGAAATGGAAAGATCTTCTTTGTAAATGACTCAGTAATTTTCCATCATCCGAAAACATTTTATATAAAGAAACAATTTAGGAAGAAAAAAAGACCTACTTTAGATTAGAAAATATTTTTAAATTAGGAGATAAAGAGGTGGAGATGGGACGGAAAAAGAAGTTAACATACAAATTATTACTGTCCTTAAACTCAGTTTTTAGGAGGTAAGTGGACTGGGCTTGGGTGTTCTTGGTGGCTTAGGATATGGGTGCTGATGGGGCAGAGAGGACCAGGTATGTGTGCAGAAAGATACGCACTTAGTGGGATCTTCTCCAAGTAAGTGTTGAATGTAGAAGAATTAGACTTGATGAGAACACTGGGTGAGGGTGGACTCTTAGGTGGATCCTTGGATGAAGTAGGAGCCTGCAGCTGAAAGGGTGAAAGAAGGAGGTGGTAGGAAGGGTTTCCTTCCCCGTGTTGCAAGGCTGCTTCTCTTAATTCTGTGACTTTACTACAAAGCACAGAGGACTGTGACCAACATTTAATAAGCCTTCAATAAATGTTGATATTGATACCTAAAATTCCACCTATTAGACATTGATTTATGTTAACAACTTCCTTCTTAAAGTAAAAATTCTCTTGGGAAGGCCCAAGTCAATTGACCATTCATTCTTTATGATGAATGTTTAATAAGACTGCTTTCTTCTGGATATCTAGTTGAGATCAGCTGAACAACGAGAGTTTTATGGCTAAATGGATATGAAGACACGAGGCAATTTAGGGTCACGGAGATGCTCGGCTGAGTTCAGGCACAAATGGGGCCTTGAGAAGTCAGAAGTTCTTACTTCTCTAGATAATATCCTCAAAAAGCCAAGTGAAGATATTAAGAAGAAAAAGCCAAAAATAACAACCGTGGCTATACCATTTTGGGAACAGAGTTGGATTCACATATCCTCCGTCCTTCTACTTTATAAACATTATTTGGAAAATTAAAAGTCGAAAATATTATAAGATTAAAATTCTGTGAGTTGGAGTCAACTTGTCTTCTAAAGCCTAACGCTTTCTGAGCCTCAGTTAAGTTACCACAAGAAGCAAGCCACCAAATTTGCCATCCAGAACTGTGATGCATGCTCTCATTTCCAGCAAGATGTAAAGCAGGGTTTTCATAACTGTTGAAGCTGCATCACAACCATCTCCACAAAGGACCATTTATCAGTTATTTTGGGAAAGGGGAGGGTTTTTTTAGAAGAGAAGAAACCACGCTAATAAGCTTTTTGTCTGCAATCATTTCCCACTGAGATTCCATATCAGTACATCTCCATTTGCTACATATTTAGCTTTAAAGGAAAATGAGGTGAGATGGAGATATTTGAGTCATAAAAGCAATAAAACGTGCTTCCGGAAAATAGCTTTCCTTTCAGTCCCCAGACCTGCACTTCCCAGATATAAAGTTTGTTTCTTTAACAAAAGTCTTGGTCAAGTATAGCCAGGCATACTGATTATCAGAGAAATATATACATATGTTTATAATTCATATGAAAGGAAAGAGAGAAAGAGCCAAAAAGAAGGGATAAAAAAATAATAGCTTTAGAAATAGAGAAAAGAAACAAAAACAAGACATACACTACGAGAACCCCTTGTAACCTGCACCCTTACCAGCTGTCCAGGAAACCCAGGGTACCTCCATCTCTCAGCTCAGAGGTTGGTGACAGGTGGTGTCTTTTATTCATATGCCCTCCCTGGGGCTCTTAATAATTGGTGTATTTCTTGTAGTCCCTTTAGTAGGCTGGGGGCAGTAGTGGGAGTGAGGGCGAGTTGGATGCTGGCTTGTTAATGGAGCTGAAGGGAGGGCTACAAGGTGACAGATGGGATGAAGCTGGAAGCTTCTTTGGTGGGAAGGGAGGGTGTTCTAGGTCATGAAGAATTAGATCCATTGAGTTGCTGCAAGAAATGTCCCATTCCTTGAGTTCCTAGGTGATTGACTTAATCTGCCCATCAGTCTTTGTGTGGTTGGTTTTGTGGTTGTGTGGATAAATCTAGACACCAAGGACCCTGGATATACCCTCCCAAAGCAAAATAACACTGGGGGCTGGGGTCACTTATTACTTGGCTGGTGTCCATGATGGGAAAGATCTCAGGGATGATGGCTGATGTTGTTGGCATTGTCTTTGCTTGTCCAAGGGCTGCTGTAGAAGAAGCGAACGGAGTGAGGGGAAGTCCAGGGGTATGAATGTGTCGTGTTCATGGGTTTTTCACCACCACCGGGATCCTGTTGTGACCTACCCACTGGTCAAGATGAAATCCCTAATAACTTAGGTGTTAAAAGACTGGAGGTTGCCCTGTATAAATTGGGTCACCAAAAGTTCCTTTTAAATTTTGCATAGGGCGGTGGCTCATGTCTGTAATCCCAGCACTTTGGAAGGCTGAGGTGGGAGGATCACTTGAGGGCAGGAGTTCAAGACTAGACTGGGCAACATAGTGAAACTCTGGTTCTACTAAAATACAAAATTTAGCCAGGCATGGTGGTGTGTGCCTGTAATCCCAGCTACTCGGGAGGCTGAGGCAGGAGAATTGCTTGAAACCTGGAGGCAGAGGCTGAACAGAGCTGAGATCGTGCCCCTGCACTCCAGCCTGGATGACAGAGCAAGATAGTCTCAAAAAAAATTTTTTTTGTTTCATATGTAGTACCATAGCACCAAGAAAGTGCTTAGGTGGTAAGTACAAAGGTGGCCAAGGTGAGTTCTGACAGTACAGAATGGGGTTTCCATGGAGACGGCAAATAATGAAGCAGTGGATGGGGGAGGGGGATGTATGCTCCAAGGTTGTGCCCACTCGGCACGACCCAGGTTCCATGCTACAGGCCTCTACTTGTCCAGACCTGAGGGTCAGATTCAGATGGTGCAAATGTTTAAGACCTGGGTCTTCAACGAGATGAATTATCAGCTATTTCATAGCTGCAGTGTTGGATATGCCGAGACGATAAAAGCAACAGCAATCAGAATCAACAGTTGAAACGACATGGCAGACGCTGTGAATGCTATGAACTGCTGTGCTGAGCAGCAGGATTCCTGTGTCCTGGCGCAATGCCCATGGGGATTCATGCTTTCAGAGGGTCACGCCTCAGGAACACGTAGAAGGGCAAGCATTTCATCTGGCAGGGCACTGATTTAATCTGCACGCATGTTTGGCTGTAAAACTAGCTCCTCCCCCTTACCATTTTTGAGTCGCTGCCGGACTCAAATTCCACAGATTCTGGAAGGTGTCCAGGAACTCGTTGATTTGTCAAACTTATGGCTACACACAGCTGGAATGGAGACGGACTCCACTGAGGAGACTCATACAGGACAGGAGGGAATTTTAAGAGGATAACCCTGGTAAGCCATGGTGGATTGGGTGATGGGAGGCTGTGTAAGAAAAGCTCTCTGACCTTGACTTCCAGGAATTTACTCTTAGATGGTTTAATCTAGATACTACCAGAGCTTGTAATACAGAAAATCCTGCAGGTAGGGAGAAGAGATTACCCAGAATTAGTTGACAGTCTATGTTTCATAGAGTAGAATCAAAGAAAGATGTCCTTATGAATTAAAAAAGCAAGCAAACTATGGTAACTTGAACCAGTTTCCAGTGCTAACGTAGCACTGCCAAGAAAAGACACTGTAAGGTCACCACTGGTCACTAGATACAGCTTGTTTTAAGTTACAATCACATTTACATAAAAACAATAAATGGTCTACATCACCTTGAAAAATGGTTTTTCCTTCCAGTTGTAAGCACTTTATGTCCTGGTGAAATGCTGCTCATCTGATTATTTTACTATATTGAGAAGAGGAAAGGGGAGGACATATTATTTTCTTAACACCTAATGGATCCAGACACATGTTAAATGCTTGACCTCCACAACCATGTTTAACTGTTAGAACAACATGATGTGTGTGTGGTTTATTATTTCTATTTTCCAAATCAGGAGACCAAGGTCTATAGAGATTACGTAGCCTTCCTGGGCACTAGGAACAGGGACAGAACTGGAACCTGTGCCTATCTCTTTCTGTCGTTGCTCCTTCCAACATATCATGTTGCTTCTCAAAACCAACAGTGAAAAAGTATTCTTTAGCCTAACCTGAGCTGAAATGGCTTAGATATGAAAGCGTAAAGTTTCACTGGCTGTGCATGATGCAAATTTCTTAAATATAGGCAAATATAAGCATGTGTGGGTATAATTTCTGTATTATGTGTATACCTTTATATCCATATGCTGTATAGTATGTGTGTATACATATAGTGTGTGTGTATATTTTATATTTATACACACACATATGTATATGCACACACACACACATATATATAAACCATTAATCTAGGAATCAACAAACCACATCTGATGATATTTCTGCATTGTCATAAAGCCGGAGAGAGAAGCTTCCCCCAGTTACAGGAAGAGATTGTGTGATTGTGTCTGTGCTTGCTTTTTCCTAATGTCTGCATGTTGGACAGAACTTGGCCTAACTCTCATGTTCATGGTAATGTAGCATCTATTTTGAACCACAGGAGGATGGAACATTGACCAGAAGAACCTGACCTTAGTTGATGGCAACTCTGTTTTATTTCCGCTGCTCACCTGGGCCTCTGAATAACCGGGTTTCATTACTACAAGGCTGGCTCACTATGCACCCCTTCACCTGTTCATTTGCCCAGTGTGTGTCTAACCCAGCCATCCACAGCTATGTCATGAAGACCTGTGCATGGATCCCCACCTGCCTTTCCCATGTTACCTGCGAGCTTACCAAAGACTTGGGATTTTTCCAGCATGGTGAAAGATGAAAATGTGCTTGGGTTTACTTTGTCATTTCCAGGGCTGGGTTAAAGCCATCATGTAATGAAGCCAGATCCACATTAAAATGTGGATCATGGCCAGGTGTAGTGGCTCATGCATGTAATCCCAGCACTTTGGGGGGCCGAGGCAGGTGGATCATGAGGTCAGGAGATCGAGACCATCCTGGCTAACACAGTGAGACCCTGTCTCTACTAAAAATACAAAAAATTAGCTGGGTGTGGTGGTGGGAGCCTGTAGTCCCAGCTACTCGGGAGGCTGAGGCAGGAGAACCGCGTGAACCCGGGAGGCAGAGCTTGCAGTGAGCTGAGATCACGCCACTGCACTCCAGCCTGGGCGACAGAGCGAGACTCCGTCTCAAAAAAAAAAAAATGTGGATCATTGTTAGATGCATTACTATGAACTTTGGGGTGGGGGAAAGGGTCAACGTGGAAAAACATCCAGGCATTTCCCTTTTTCTACACTTGTCTGTATCTCTCCCCAATAATTCATTACTTGATTACTTTCCTCATTCATTCATTCCACAGATATTCCCTGGCCATTGAAATCAACTACTTGTGTCAGAATACAAAGCTACATGAGATGTGGTCCTTGTCCTCAATAAGCACACAAGTCAGGGAGTTGGAGGGGAGATTATGAGTAAGGAAGAGATACAGAGGTGAAGAGGGGAGGTGTCCAAGCTGGAGGGTTCTCAAGGGAGAGGGAAGAGTCTGGAGGCTTACAGAGAAGATAGCTCTTGGGGGTTTTGCCCTTTGAGCCTCTCACAGAGGTCCTGGGCCAAGGAGGACTTTGCGTTTTCCATCAGGGTCAGCCTGGTGTCACCCAAACACCTAGAGGAGTGAGGAGACACCAGAAATCCCAGATTGTGTGACAGCACCTGGGTAGGCACTGCAAGGGACTAAAGATGCTACTTGCAACCAAGGATGATCCCCAAGACAAAAAATATGCATTATAAGAATTATATTTTGGTCCTCAAACTTCTGGTTCTATAAATGCTGTTCTCACTGTCTGGGAAGTAAGATTTGGACTTGGCCAGTGGAAATTCAGTTTCTTCATTTGTCACTCGATGCCTGTGAAAACTTTGCCAAAAGCCTGACTTCTTGGAGCTTTGGTTTTCTCATCTATCAAGTGAGAATACTAATAATCATAACAATAATGCCTACCTCACTGATCTCTTAGGGTTGTTATGAGACTTAAAGTGTGCTGTGCAAAGTCTGAAACTGTGCCATAACTCTTTACGGTCATTATTATTAGTATTGGCAAAAATGTCCATTTCTGCACCCCCTTCCATTTGAGTGGTGAGCGTTTTCCTTGCCCTGCTATTAAGAGGTCACTCGTGTCAATGCTGAGAGGCCCATGGAAGCCTGACAGCTTGATGTTGCATCTGTGAGAAGTGATTCATTGGAGCAATCTCCCCTTAAGTTCTGATGAATGCATTAAGTTTTAGAAGGAAATCTGTTTGAATTGTGGCTTGATGTCTAATGCTTGGAGGATTATATAATTGAATTGTAGATGCTAAATTGCATCTTCTGAAATACTGAGAAATAGTCCCATTCTCATATAGGCTTAACATCCATCTAGAATATTCCAATTGCTTGTTACTAGGAGATATGTGTGTTACATGGCAAGCATGTGCTCATGTGGACTCACCCACCTGTGAGGATGGCATAGGTGAGGAAAGAAGAAGATGAGAAAGGTTTTATAAGGTAAACTCAATTGTGAAAACTATTACATGATGGTGGACAATTTCAGCTTCAATTCACCTGATGATGACCCTGGCTTCAATAATTAATGACCCTGTTATTAGATTTCTGAGGCAGACAGCATCTCATTGCAAGGGACCACTTTGATGAATGAATAATCGTAATAAATACAAACCACTGGCCAGAGGGTCAACTTCTACTGTCTGCTTAGCTGGAACATGAATGAACCCAGCCATGATTGCAACATTCTCATGGCCATTCTTTTGGAATTCCAAGTAGGAGAAGAACCTGGAGGGTCATTAAGCTGTGTCCTTTGTCTTCAGGCAAGATTATCTCCAAACCAACCAAATGGGGTAGAACCCACATTGACACTCTCCTGGCAACAGGCTCAAGGCTATTGGGAAATCTTCCGACTTGTGTCAAATCTAACATTTGTCTTTCATTTAGTTGAGACCAATCTACATAAATCCAGGTTAAAGGGAAGCTTCTTCCCGCCCTCCAGAAGACACAGGCAGTGGCTCAGGTGACCTGCCAGCATGGAACCTGTCTCTCTCAACAGTAAGTTACTGAGCACCTACTACGTGTGAGATGCTCTCCTGGATGTGTTTCATTTTATAGTATTTGACATCTGTTTTCTCATGTGAGCCTCACAACAATTTTATGTGTTTAGGTCATGGTGGGGGGTATGACCATTATAGGATGGATGAAAAAAACGAAGCTTGAAGAAGTTATGTGAATCTCCTGAAGTCCAGAAATGGCAAAGTTCAAACTCAGGTCTCCTGGCTCCAAGCCCATGTGTTTCCCCTTCTACTATGTCAACCTCTCCCTGCCCTGGGCTGCCTTGTGGCACCGTCCCTTTCTGTGGAGACTGGTACATCTGCCTTAGTGTCTTCCGGCTGTGTGATGCTTGTGTTAAGGCTCCATATTCTGGAGGTGTCCTGCGAATTCTCCACTGGAAAAGGGAAACAGGACTAACCCTAGGTCTTGAAGGGTTTCCCTCAGAGCTTGAGATAGTCAGAGGAAAGGACTGAGTGTCCAGGGTTTGGCCATCTCTAAGTGCTCTTTTGCTTTTGAAACAGAAATAGACCTTGCATCTGTTGGGCCCATAGTACTAGCTCCTGCTGTAGGTGCTTTTGTGGGCACTGCATGTTAAATCCTCACATCAACCTCATGAGGTGCTGCTGTTACCTCCAGTTGTGGATGGGGAAGGTGAGCTGTGGGGAGTTTACATACGGAGGTGGAAAATGGCCAAACTGGGATTTGAACCCCTGCCAGGGATCTGCTCTTAGCCTCTTTACCATGTTAAGGAGCCTGGGCTCCAGCACCCTCTCCTCCTGTCTGCTGCCCTTGGTCCATAGAAGGAAAAGCCCAGACCTCCTGGTGTCCTGGGCACTCAGAGATAACCAAAGCCTGGAAACTCAGCCTTTCCATCTCAAAAGTGAAAGAAAAGTCAATCAAACAAAAATGACCGAAGTGTTTTCTAATATTTTCATTAATTAAAATTATGGTTCCTGATTTCATCTTTTTGACATCCAACACCAATGTACTAATAATCAAGCCCCTGGAATAATGGTGTTTAATAAAAAGGGTGAAACCTGCAATGCTTTTAGGCAACACATTTACCATGGCTAGAGAGTAGTGGGATGTGTTGGTGTGATTCTGTGTGTCCCTTGGTACGTCAAACACCCACGACACTTAGTAAGACTGTGTGACAACAGCGCTGAGCAGTTTAAGTGCTTGTAATCCGCTGCCTGGGACCAGGCTGAGACTCAGAACTGGGTGTTCTTGCTTTTTCACATTTGCTGCTGATTATGCTGAGGAATTAGATGGGAAGGTGGGCCAGGGATGGGGCAGATAGACATATTGAATGTGTACCCAGAAACACAGTGAGGGTCTGTGGTCAAGGATGTGGAGTTTCTATCCACTTGGCAAGGGGTGGGGAGGGTGAGTCTATACAATGAAATCACTCCCTGTGTCCATTGCGCCCAACACCAAGCATAACATGAGCAGCTGCAGTTAGGAGGAAAAGGCCAAAACCTCCCCTTGGACCTCCTGCCTGGACCTCCCTGCTTTAAGCAGGAATTGAATGTAAAATGCTGTCTGGGCCAGCCCTGCCTGGGTCTGCAAAAGGAGAGGTGCCTGCAGCAATGGCTAGTGGGCCAGCCCCTGGCAGCACATGAAGCCACAAAGATGCCCCAGCTACTGGGCTTGTCACCCACAAAGGCCCCCACTCTAGCCTGCCCCCTACCCTGCAGCTGGAGTGTCTCTGGAGAAGTATTTCCAAACAGCCCATTCCCTGCCCCTCTTCATTTTTGTGTTATGTGCCACCTGAAGGTCTTTATGATGTTCTATATCCCCGCTTCTTCTCCCATGTTGTTTTGCCTCCTATGACATTGGAACTGGCTCCTGAACAAGGGGTTAATGTAGGAAGGGAGCCCCCACCTGCCATAATGAGAACCCCCCCAGCACCTCAGACTCTTTCTCATCCAATTCATGGGGAGGAATGATTTGACAAGCAGGACAAGTTCTATCCTCAGGCCATGTGAGTGCTCCAGCCAAGATGATTGAGCCTCTTCTGGGGTGGGACTGTTTGCCAGTGGTTTGCTGCATCAGATGGCCTTTTGGATCCTGGACACAGCTACAATCACAGAAGCGATCTTGGAAGCCACTAAGCCAGCCCTACCATTTTGCAGATGAGGAAACTGAAGACTGCGAGGGAGGATATTCAGCTTGAATTTAGGGTCAGCAAAAGGATGCATTGAGGAAAGAGCCCAAGGTGATCAGTGTCCAGTTGGCATCTCTATACCTCATGGTGCTGTCTTCCTGCCCCATTGCCAGGCTTGGATTGTCAAAATAAGGAACTGATCTCCAGGAGATAAATTCGTCAAGTAGAAGACAGGCTTCAAGAAAAGAAAGGCACTCTGTTTTGCAGTGGGGAGCACTCTGCTGGGGGCCTATGTGGCTCAGACGTTGATGGAACCGTCATCTCTGTAAGTGGAGACAGTAAGCACTGTCCTAACTAAATCACAGCTCTTTACTGCTTTTATATAAAGATTACTCAGGTTGTAATAATAGCCCATAAATTAGTAAGTACCATTAAGTTTATGGGCTTCTCCTAGTCAGAGTCCTTTCTAGCTATCAATTTGGTAGAGTTTAATAAACTCTCCATGACTTATAAAACCACGGTAGTCAAGTTTTGGTCTGTACTGAGTGGCGTTTCTGATACTGACTTCCTTCTCTACTTGCGTGAAATGAAGGCAAAAGGACCCATAACAACACAATTAGACCACAAGACAGGTGTCAGCTTATCACATTAGACAGCTGCATTAAAGCCAATGTACCTCCTTCAGGGTCTGGGTGCCTGCAACCACTGGGGGTCTTGCAAGCATCTAGCAGGATAGGAGAACAGCTCAGATGGAAGAACAGACAACAAACCCACTGCCCACTGAGATTCTGTGAAGGAGAACTCCTGTGCAGTGGCAGAATTGAGTGGGAACCATGTCTGCCCCAGCAAGGAACTTAACTTCTCATCTAAAAATCACACCAGTCCTGCATACCTCATAGGAGCAATTGAAGATAAAAATAAGTCAAGGTTCAGTACAAGCTCAATCTCATGGAAAATATGAAAGTGCCATCATCCAATAATCATAATAATCCAGAGCTATGATATACAAAATGTCTTTTATCATGCAAAGCTCTGTGCCAAGCACTAGACATTCATTCTTGTTTTGATCCCTGCTGCCCTCCTAGCAGGCAAGAAGTCTCGCTCTACCAAGGCTCAGAGAGGATGGCAACTTGCTTAAGGTGACATAGCCAGCCTACTGTGGCAAATTCAGACATCCAATGCAGGTCATTGACTCCAAAGACCATAGGCCTACACTGCCCCAGACTATTTAACACATCACTTTTATTAGGTTGTATTTGTCCTAATTCACTCCATACTTCTTAAAGATTTTCTATCAATGGTCAAAAATACAAATACAGGTTGGGCACAGTGGCTCACGCCTGTAATCCCAGCACTTTGGGAGGCTGAGGCAGGTGGATCACGAGGTCAGAGATCGAGACCATTCTGGCTAACATGGTGAAACCCCATCTCTACTAAAAATACAAGAAATTAGCTGGGCATGGTGGCACGTGCCTGAACTCCCAGCTACTTGGGAGGCTGAGGCAGGAGAATTGCTTGAACCTGGGAGGCAGAGGTTGCAGTGAGCCGAGATTGCACCACTGCACTCCAGCCTGGGCAACAGAGCGAGACTCCAGATAAAAAAAAAATACAAACACAATCTAAGATATTTTTATTAATAGCCCAGGCTTGGATTCTGCAAAAGATGTGGAATCTCTGTTGAAAACCAACATAAGTAATTTCAGATAGAACTACTACCAAACTAGATATCAACTTACTTAAGTAGGTTGATGGAACTTAACCTCACTTTCCTAGGAGTAGCTAGACGTCCTACAGACTTGAAGGTTAGGGGATGAGGGGTAGACATTGAGGATCCTGGAAATGAATTAGTGTTCTTTCCTCCATGCTGTGGTATCTGTTAGGCTGGGTGGTATAACCAGTCGCCCATAGTTCTGCATTTCATTGCAATCCAAGCTGCAGTGAGGTGGAGCTGAGGCCCCAGCACTGAAGTTGAGTGACGAAAAGGCACCTGAAACTCAGGTGCATTTCAGTTGGTGACTGGTTTTCATGGGAACTGCTAAAATGTAAAGAGAATGGCTTTGTAGCCCATAACGCGGAGTCTGCAGTCATCCCTCCCATGGCATTTTTGGAGCTACCCATGACCATGATAGGTTGCCATTAACAGGGATGGATTTGGCTGTGACTGATCTGCAGTGCCCTCCAAAGGTCTGACAAAGATCTGAGCAAATAGATTTTACAAGAATGTTCACTATTTTGTTCCCAGCACCTAGCAGAGTGTCTTATACATAGCAAACACTGATACATATTTGCCAAACAAGATAGATATTAATGTCTTAATTTATTGAAACAAAGACTCCAAGAAGCTAAATGCATTAACTTGTTGCACATCACGCAGATCTAACTAAGGTGCAAGGTAAGATTTGAAGTTGGGTCTGTCTGACTGTAGAGCCCCTGCCTCGATCACTAAAACACTTCTGGAACCTTCCGTGGAGACTGAATCTGTAAGATCCTTGTCACAAGCACCTCAGGTAATTTTGGTGCAAGTGGATCACACTTGAAAAAAGGCCATTGTAGTGACATTTGAATGACAGCTGACATGTTTGAGCTCTTACTCTTTCCTCAGCACAGCTGCATAATCTTCTCACCAACTCTACGACTGTTGCATTCTAGAGATTGAAAACATCAAACCAAACCTGAAGCACTGAGAGGTTGGGTAACCAGCTCTGGTCACTGAGTTGGTGAGGGATGGATTCAGAAGAGGTCTCCAATTGTGACACCGCAGAGGACCTGCTCTTGGCCACTACACTCTACCAGCTCTGCAAGAAGGTGAGGGAGGGAGGGTGGAGTGTGATGGGCTCTTACTGTCTCCATTCGGTTTTGTCTTAGATAAAGGGAACTGAGTCCTTAGGCCCCTCCAGCAGGAAAGGCTCACAACAGCAGCCCCTCCGGCCCTGGGGTCAGTCTGTATTCACACCTAAGGGCAAGCTAAGTTGTGAATTTGACAGAGGACTTGGACAGTGTCTCTAGTTGTCCCGGTTATAGCTGTGGTTAGTGTCCACCGATGGATGAGGAGATGCTTCCGGCAGATTGCTCTCTTAGCCACAATTCCCTCATTTATGGCAGCAAAGCAGGCCAACGATTGCAAAAGACAGAAATAAAACAGAAAATCTTGGAATGAGCATCATCCTGTAAAAAGCATAGAGTGACATCAATAACGGGTAGACACCTTCTCCCCACCTTCGCACAACTGTAACTTTTTGGTTGTTAAAGGAACAGATAATCATATTTCTAAAGAAAGAATGCCATGATTCAAGCCCTGGAGTGAATAAAGACTCATTTATGGGAGGTTATACCAAGAGGAAAATAGTAAACGGGCACGTGTTTTAGCCCTTTTAGACTTGTAAATGGTCCACATGTAATGTGCTCCAAAAATGGTGAAATCATCCAGTAAAGCACTCACAGCCCTGACTGCTGCTTGTGGCATCATGGGGGAAAGTAAAAAGGCCCATGCACAGAGGGCTTTTTTAACTTTTCCTCTAGACAGAGTCTTGATCTGTTGCCCGGGCTGGAGTGCAGTGGCATGATCTTGGCTCACTGCAACCTCCGCCTCCTGGGTTCAAGTGATTCTCTTCCCTCAGCCTCCTGAGTAGCTGGGATTACAGGCATGCGCCACCATGCCTGGCTAATTTTTGTATTTTTAGTAGAGACGGGGTTTCACCATGTTGGTCAGGCTGGTCTTGAACTCCTGACCTCAAGTGATCCGCCTGCCTTGGCCCCCCAAAGTGCTGGGATTACAGGCGTGAGCCACTGCACCCGGCTGGGGTTTTTAATTAATATATACCCTCCTGTACTAAGTATATTTTAAATTTTCTATGTTATGTGATGCTTTGACATCTCAGGTCTTACAGACTGGAGGAGAGATGTCCTTTCCTGGAGTTAGCTAATTCCTAGAGATCCCAAGCAACTTGCTCATAAGCACACTTTTGATATGCAAACCAACCGGTTCAGAGTTCATACTCCTACCTGCCTCCTTTATCAGGGTCCTGCCATATGGGACACAACCCTTCTGCCCTAAATCGCCCCAGGGCCAGCTACCAGACAACTAGGACCCCCCATATAACCCAGAGCCCACGGGACATATTTGAACTCGTTTGAACCAACCCTAAGCCTGCTCAACTGCTTACCCTGCCTCGACTGCTCCTTCTCCTGAAAACCACCATAAAGCTGTCTGTCCGTGCTTTTTCCTCACTCCTTCTGCCTCCTGGCTGACCCTGGTGCTTCCCCGCATGGCCCTGTGTGGCGTGGCTTGTCTCCTACTCTTGGGAATTGTCAATAACAAACTATTTTTTCAATGGTAATGATCCCCTGATCTGTTGACCTTGCCACACCTGAATAAAAACAAACCCCTCGGGTACGCTCTGAATCACCTCCTTACTGAAAACCACAATACATTCTTCTAATTCTTACAAAGGGAATCCCACCTCCATCTGTTTATAAATCAAGAAGTGTTCATCACATGCTCTGGAAACTTTCATGCAAAGTAGTTTTCTTGTGCCATCGTAGACGCATGGTTATGTCTAGGGATGTTTGGAGATGAAGACGCACAACTGACTCCTGACTCCTGTTTACTTAACTGTGTGGCCTTGCGCAGGTTATTCCCTTAAGTCCCAGCTTTGTCATCTGAAAATGCCACGGCAGATGCGCACCTCACGTGGTTGCAGGGTTTCCACGAGCCGATGGATGTAAAGAACCCAGCAGGACGTTGGCTTTCAGTTAATACTGCAAAAATAGTAGCTTTTCAGCAGTTCTTCTCTCCCCAATCCACAGCTTTGGTACTGTCACTCCACAGCCCCTGGATGAGGCTCTGACACTTTGCAGGGAGGACGCATTCTCATCAGAAAGAGACGGAACGGGTCTCAGAAGCTTGCTTTCAGAGGGCTTGCCTTTCAACTCAAAGCCCATGGGGATGCTGGGGACAGAGCCTGCCTCCCATGTGAGAGGCCACCATGCGCCAGAGAGCTCAGCCTGTGGAACACAGAGCAAAATGGCAACTATCTTCCCATCTTCATTTGCGCTCGCTGTCCTGTGGAAACCTCCTCTCTGTGAAACTGGTGGAGTCACGATTTTGGGGCTGGACCATCTGCCTGGTCCCAAATGTAATTCATGAACTTGGAGGGATCTGCATTACTGTTCATTTCAGCAGGAAAAATGATCAATGTATTTCACAGCTTTGAGAATCTGCACCTTTTTTCTGGACTGCGGCAGGCATATATGGGTTCTGGCATTCTGATTAGTAAAGCAGCCAAATTTTCCCTTTTATTTTTTTGCAAAATCCTCTGTCTTCCACTTTAATACGAGCGCCAGTAAATATTTTATGCCGAGGTCTTTTCAGAGCACTGTTTCCTATCTAAAGGCATATACTTCCACCCTAGATATGTATTTCTTTAGTTAATGTACACATGTAACACACATATAAAATAAATGAAAGTAGTGTATTTTTCCAGTTATCTCCAAAGAAGTAAAACTAATTAGATAGAATGGAGAAGGGGCTATGCTGATTAATTTAATTATCTGTTTAACTAAAGGCTAAACAGAAAGCTTATTGAGGTTTCTACCCTGGTAATAAAAAAAATCTTTCAAATGTACAAGCCCACTTGTATGCCTTCCGTAGACTGAACATGTAATTAATTTTGAGAATTCAGCTCTGAGCCTCAGGTTCACTAATGTTGAAATCAAGTTTGTTGATATAAAAGATTTGATTGGATTTTCATGCGTTCTAAGAAGTGTTAGAAAAAAATTATGTAAAAAAATCTTCATAGCTTATTTTTTATAATTTGCATCTTATGCTTGGTAAGTGGAACATAGGATTATTTCCCACTAACAGAATTGGGGATAATCAAGTTTAATTAAAAAGTATTTTATCATAAACTCTTCTCATCTCCAGTGCAAAAGGTAACGGCTCTTTCCAACAATGACTATATTGCCATTTTTACTGCCCTCCTTAACCAGGGTACGGTTTAACATCCCAAAGAAAGCCTATCTTGAAAACCTTTTATGACTCAATCTCTTATGAGAGCTTACTTATATAATGTATGGGTTTTTTTTGTTATTGTTTTAGAATGATGAGTGATCACCATAACATAAACAGACACCACTGAGCGGACTCATTCTTGGTCTTCTGTCTGATTCTGGGAGATTCAGAGCTCTGGCTCTGCCACTAACAGCAGGGAGTTGGAGAAACGATTTTGCTGCTCTGGAGCTCAGCTTCCTGATTTTGAGGGGGATGTCTTGGAGGTTCTCCCCACATCTGGAATTCTGGGATTATATGGTGCCTTATGCTAGTGGTAGGGGGTGTGTATTGACAACCAAACATCCCGATTTGCCCAGCATTGAGAGAGGGTTCCTGGGACTTGGGAATTGGGGTATGAACACTGGAAACTGCCAGGGCAAATTGGAACCAGCTGGCTACCCTGGTTGCGGGGGGTGGGCATGTGGTTTGGTGTGTGTGGGCACAGCCTCTGATTTATAGAATTATAAATTATATGTTAATTATATACTACATAAATTATATTTATACACTTATAGGATTATAAATTATATATTAATTATATAATATAAAAATTATATTTATAAAATTATAAATTAATTAATATATGTGTTATATATCTATAAAATTATAAATTATATATTAACTTTATAATATATAAATTATATTTATATATTATAAAATTATATTTATAGAATTATAAAATATATATTAATTCTATTTAATTCCAAGCATTGGGTTGAGAAGGAAGATACACAGGTAAAGTACTTTGTATATTTTCTGGCACAGAAGCACTAAGTAAACATTAGCTATGATTATTATTGTTTTTGTTTTTCTCAAGCGCTTCCACACTTTTCATCTCAGACCCACAGAGCCAGTGTGTGCGGCTGAGGTGCTCAGACTGGCAGGTGAAATGACTTCATTAGTGCCCTGGCTCCTGGTGGGATGAGAGTGGAAACCCAGCCTTCTGAGTTGAAGAACTGGAACAAACATCAGCCCTGACACATTGATGTCAGTTTACCTTTGTGAGAAACAGGAACGAAATGTGAACATCTATTTCAGGTGATGTCATAAAGCCCGACTCAGAAGATGGCTATGATTTCAACAGCCTGTCGGCAGCACGGATTTCAGAGTAACTTACAATCAGTAATTAATCTAAACAACAGTGCCGTGTGCACTCCATTATTAAAACAGAAGGGGAAACAAAAGGAGACTGAGAGGATTGCTTTTGAAGGGTCATGTTGCAGCGGCTTCTGCTGGATACTAAAAAGCAAATTATTATCGGGGGTTGTTTGTCATTCACAGGAGGAATTGGATTCCTTTATGTTTATAAAGTCACCTTGGTATCTGGAAGGAGAGCAGAAACTAACAGAGCCTACTTTACTTAGGAATGTAGGATGCTAATTTATTTGCCTTTTTCTTATATTAATATCCTTATCTGTAAAAAGGGGGAAGAAAATAGGGCTGTTTTGAGGAGATGTGGCTGAGAAAACAGAAAAAGAGAATTACAGGCCTGAAATCCCAGCACTCTGGGAGGCTGAGGTAAGAGGAACGCTTGATTCCAGGGATCTGAGACCAGCCTGGGCAACATGACGAAACCCTGTCTCTATTTAAAAAACGACATTTAGCGGGCTGTGGTGGTGTGCATCAGTGGTCCTAACTACTCAGGAGGCTAAGTTGGGAGGACTGCCTGAGCGTGGGCGGCCGAAGCTGCAATGAGCCATGATTGTGCCTCTGCTCCAGCCTGGGTGACAGAACAAGACTCTTCCTAAAAGAAAAAAAAAAAAAAAGGAACGACGAATCAGGCCAGGCACAGTGGCTCAAGCCTGTAATCCCTAATCCTAGAACTTTGGGAGGCTGAGGCTGGTGGATCACCTAAGGTCAAGGGGTCAAGACAAGCCTGGCCTACACGGCAAAACCCCATTTCTACCAAAAAATGCAAAAACTAGCCGGACGTGATGGCGCATGCCTGTGGTCCCAGGTACTTGGGAGGCTGAGGCAGGAGAATGCCATGAACCTGGGAGCTTGCATGAACCCAGGAGGCGGAGCTTGCCGCGAGCCAAGATCACGCCACTGCACTCCAGCCTGGGGGACAGAGCAAGACTCTGTCTCAAAAAAAAAAAAAAAAAAAAGTAAAATAATCACTTCCACTCAAATCCTGGGTTCACACTGTTTTCCCCAGGAGGGACTAGAGGTCCATAAAGAGGCAGTCACGGTCGGGGCTCACACAGCTAAGGTGTGGAGGAGCAGGGGCGGGGACCAGGGGTGTGGCTGGAGGCTGTGTGCTTGTCAGTTCTCCAGCTGCCTGTAATAATAAGCCTGATGCTAGCTTACCCAGAAGGGGCGAAGATAAGCGCAGGGGTGGGATGGGGGCTGCTGAGCAGAGCCTGGAAGATGAGTCCTCATTGAGGAGGAAGCCCATGGAGTTGGCCCAGTGATGATAAAATCAGCTGGGAAAGTCGATGGAGTTTCCCAGCGCTTGAAGTCCATTGACTTTCCCAGCTAATGTTACCAAAGCCTCCTTCTGACTGTACCTGTTTTCCCACAGGCCCCTGGCGCTGGTTCTCTCTGGAGGTTGAGTTTCCGTGGGGAGAGAAGAGTGCCCAGCGTGACCACCGTTGGCTGACTTCCCATGCCTTATTCCTTGTTTCCCCCGCTGGGGCCCAGCCCACCAGCCCCGCAGTGCATGAAGCCACTTATCACCACGGTTCCCAGAGAGGACGGGCTGGCCCAAGTCTGCATTGTCACCTGCTCTGGGGAAAACAAAGCCCTCTCCCCCGCCCTCCCCGCAGCATGCTGGGCACAGGGCCAGCCCGTTCTATGTTTTCAGTAAATTTTCAAACATGCTGGTTTTGGTGGCAGCTTTTGCAGTGATTATCTCATTAGGGGCTTGGCCCTGAAACACCTTATTTATTGTGGATTGAAAAAAGTTCACCTTTTCAAGCAAAAAAAAAAACAAAAAAAAACAAACAAAAAAAAAACAGAAGAAAGAAATAAAAGAACCAGACTGTAGTTTCCCTGGAAAATTTTCGCTTGTGGGAAAATACCTCCCCGGCCCGTAGAGAGACGCCATCACCAACAGTGTGGAGTTATCAGATGGGACTGGTCCAGCTTTGTGGGGCCGGGGCACACAGTGCCAATGTCCAGGTAGTTTCCAAACCGTGTTTTGTTTCCTCTGTCCTCTTTATAAACCCACGGATTGAACCTCATGGGCCCACAAGTTCCTGATTGCTTCGTATATATTGTACAGATTTTTTCAGGAAAATAAAATAGATCTTGCTCTACCCTGACAGAGCAGGGCCGATATTCTCTAGAAGAGAGGAGAACTCTAGAATGGATGGCAGCACTCTGAGTGTGTAACCCAAACAGCATGCTGAAATAGTAAAACTCTGCCGCAGGGGCAGATGGCTGCTGGGAGAATATTTATAGCAGGGATCTAGAAATAACCGTAAGGGAAAAGCCTTCTGAGGAGGAACGGAACAAGAGTCTTCGGGGTGGCACTTGGAGACACTCTTGCTCTTGCCTGAGGTCCTGGAGGGCTGCAGGCCGACCGCTGCACGGGAGAGAATATACGTGGTATTCACAGGGTACACAGAAGTCATAATACTTCATGTAGATCTGTGCCACACAGATGTGAGAGCTAGGACTTGGAAACAGGAAGAGAAGTGGGAGGATGATTAGGAGCGTAATTGGTAAATGTAGTACAGTCAAGGCAGACGCTGTAAAAGGACCGGGCACTGCAGAGCTGCAGGACAAGAGCCTGGGGACACGACAGTCAACCAGCCCGTGGGCATCATGGAAACAGCACTTTGCAGGCACCTGAGTGAAGCACAGGAAGGAAATGCAGACACAGGTGAAGGAGCACGGGGTTGGGTTAGAGCCAGGCAGCATCCCCCCAGCCGCTCCATGCTAAAGCCTTCATCGATTGCCCAGAGAGTGGGGGTTCTCAGTTAACGTTGGAACCATACAGCAATGAGGCCTGGGTACTACTTGTAATTTTCTGTTTATTTCTAACTTTATGAACTGCGTCAAGTATACTTCCTAGCATGGGTTCAGTATTTTGCAACAAATCTTTCTGCCGTGGATATAAATTCATGAGCTTCAGGTTTCATTAAAGAGAAGTACACAAATGAAGTACCCAGACTAACATTTGAAAATTTAATTTTATGTTTGTTTTTATTTTTTAAGGGACAGGGTTTCACTATGCTCAGGCTGGACTCAAACTCCTGGGCACAAGTGATCCTCCTGCCTCAGCCTCCTGAGTAGCCGGGACCATAGGCACACACCACCACGCCCAGCTCAAACTAACATTTGACTGCCTTGTGAAATATTACCTAGTCACTATCCCAGGTCCCTGACAGCATAGACCAGCAAAACATTAGAATGACACCAGACCTATTATAACTGCAAGCCATGAACAGGATTTCAAGAAAAGAGATGGAAGAATGTTCAGATTCCTAAAAATCTTCTTAAAAGAGAACTCCTAGCTTTCCACAAAATTCACTTAATTTCTTAAGTGATTTTTATCTTTTAAAAGCACAATAAAAAGCAATCAGATGTTGTGTGTCTGTGCATCTGTACAGCAGTAAAGGTATCTCTCACATGGCATTAAAAAAAAGGCAAACAAATCCAACACACCACTAGAACTCAAATTTGGAGAAAATAGCTGCAGGAAAAAATTGCGCTGTGTGTATAAAGGTTTTTTTTAAAGAGTGTCTTTTCCTGAACTGACATTTCCATTCTTAGTTTTTTGGTTTTGTTTTGTTTTGTTGTTGTTTTGAGACGGAGTCCCACTCTGTCACCAGGCTGGACTGCAGTGGTGTGATCTCAGCTCACTGCAACCTCCGCCTCCCGGGTTTAAGCGATCCTTCTGCCTCAGCCTCCTGAGTAGCTGGGACTACAGGCATGGGCCACCATGCCCAGCTAATTATTTGAACTTTTAGTAGAGATGGGGTTTCACCATGTTGACCAGGATGGTCTCGATCTCTTGACCTCATGATCCGCCCACCTTGGCCTCCCAAAGTGCTGGGATTACAGGCGTGAGCCACCGTGCCTGGCCCATTCTTAGTTTTCTTACTTGGGTATTTTTCCCTGTCTGCCTCAGGGAAATGAGGAAACCAATAGAAGCTTGGCACTTATTTACTTTTCAGTTAGTATATGATGTGATTTATTAAATGTATCTTTAAGTCTCCAACTGGAATCACCCATGTTCTTAACAACTTAGGTTACTCCTTTCAAGGAAATGAACATATTATTACAAGCACAGCCATTCTGGAAAATACAACTGTCCACTACATATAGAAACTTGGCCTCAGATGATTGTGTCTTCTTAGCAAGGGACAGTTTCTATTCCCCTGAACCCCACCTCACAGCTCTGGATGACATGATTGAAGCTAAGGCAAGGTCATTTTCTACCCCGACTCAAATCTCTCTTACAGCAAGTTAACCAGGTGGGGCTTGAGTGGTCCCAAGCTTCACACTCCGAGTCAGGCAGGTTTCTTAGGTCTGCTCCCATACTGAACCGGCTACTAGGGGCACCTGACCACGTAGAACCCAACAGACAGTGACCGGGTAAATACTCAGCACTCGGGTTCTATTCTCCTATTGAATAAAGGCAGCATCAACCTGCCTATGGACAGTGATTGAAAGCATTTCACTCCAAATTGAGCTGCACACTCTGGTGTCTTCAGGCACAGCCAGGCATAGCCAGGACAGTTGGTTGCAACAGGACTGGGCCGACTGGGAGCCCAGTGAGGCAGGGCTGGGAATGGACTCTGTTGCTGGCCTTGGGAGAACACACAAGGGCAAAATGAGAAACTGGAGGTAGCTGTAATCCCTCTGATGTCAGGGACTGTGTCTTACTTCCACTGTGTCTTCAGTGCCCAGCTCGGAGTCTAGCACATAGTAACCTTCCATCAGTGTTCATTGAGTATAGACATCAGAGAAAGCTGGAGTTTGCAGGGGTGATCCTCATCGAAGGGATACATCGTGGTGACCCACTTAGTGGAGGACACTATTGGGGCCCTGGAGATGGTGATACTCAGCAATTCACAGGCATGTGGCTGGCACTCGAGGAGGGAGTCTGTCATCAAATAGGTGGGTCTCGGGACCAGGCTGGGATATAAAGGTGGGACTTTAGGCCTTGGAGACTCTGGCCACAGCAAGATAGGACTAGATGAGGTCAACTGCTCTCCAGAATGGGACTCAGGCCTAGGGGACAGCAGAGACCTAGGTATAGAGAAACAGCCAGGAATGCGGAGCAGTCCAGTCATGAGGACTGAAGTGTAAAGTCAATATGATTGGCCCAGTGATGCTGCTGTGCCCAAGAGCATTCAGCTGGAACTAGAGCTCCCTGCATCACTTCTGCTAAGGATCCAAGGCCAAGGCCAGGGTAGGGGGCACGGACGGGGATCACATGAGAGAGGGGAGGTACAGAGGCCGTGGAATGACTGTGCCTGCCTTCCTGATCCCAGCAAGGTGGGTATTTGCAGGCTGCCTGCACGGCTCAGCAGTTTCTGGAAACTGACTTTTCAGTTTATTTATGATTGTTTTCTTCCCCTCTGAACAAAGTGCATTTAGGTTAAAAACCAGGCAGCACATAAATAAACTAATTGGAAGTGTGTGCACTAAGATTTTAGTGTCTTTTAATAAATTCGAAATTTTAGAGTCTTCCCAAAGCAGAAGTAATATAGGATCCTAGGCTTTACCTGCTAGGAAAACATTGAGTTTAAAAGGAAGAAAAAGGGTTCTTCCTGGTTGAGAAAGGGAGATGGTGGTTATATGGAGAAATTAATCAAAGAATAATGACACTTAAATCCTTGACATAATCATGAGGTTCACTTGCCATCTAAAGAAAACACACACTCACAATGCTCACACCCACTCATACATAATAAAGGCTTTGACGGGATGAGTGGGACCTGCTTGTATGCACTATTTTCTGCAAAGAAAATATGTTTATGGACAATAAACAAATGTCTTTGATTTCAACCATATTATGAATAAAATTATCAGCAGAGTGCTAAGAGCAGATGGCATTTCATCATTTAATAGAGACTAGATATCCTGCTTAAAGCTGCAGTTTGTCTCTTATTAGTTACAAATGTCACAGCCCATGACTCTTAGAAGGAAGTTTACGACCCACAATTAGATATCCTAGAATGTTTAATTCTGCTTGCCTTTGAATTTCTTTTCAAAAGCAGCCCTCTTTCCCTCACTGTTCACTGCCACCTAGTGAATTTATCTGGGAAAGAAACCATAGCTGGGAAGAAGATGCTTTTTTAAAAGACAACAGCTTTCACCAGTGACTTGCCTTGTCAAATGATAATGGAGCAGGAGGATGGAGGCTTTTGCCGAAAAGGCCGTGGCAAGGACAATGAAATTCGACCCATCAGAGCAGAACACATTAACAAAGCCCCTGCCCGGGGGAAGCTTCTGGAAGGAGCAGCTCAGGTGAGCAACTTCTGACAGCTCTGGGCTTCTGATCTGACAGTCTGGTTCAAAAGAACCAAGGACTGTTCCCTTTGATTCCCCTTCGGTTGAACCCAAATGCCAGACGACATGGCGCGTTGCCCATCCTGGGCAGATGTTAAGGGCTTGGTATAGAGAAAGGGTGCGTGGAATGATGAGGCCTGTGCAGGAGCCCCAGTCAACATGGAAGGCATCAAAACCGTGTTAACGAGACCCCCTGGGGGACGATCACAGAACTGAAGCAAGTGGTAATTAGAATGGAAATGTAATGATGTGCCGCTATCCTGCTATCCTGCTTCCCAACCCTGGTGTGGGCCAGTCTCCTCTCACTGTGAATGCAAAGGCTGTAGTCTCCTTTCAAACGCAGAGCAGCTTCTACCCAGGGTCACCCATGCTGTTCCTCCAACACCCAAACAGAAAACTGCAAGAGAGAGGTGGGCATGGTACTGATTCAGTGAGCCCTGCATGGCTCCATGTGGCCCTGCTGGAAAAATCCTGTCTGCTTCAGAAACCACCTTGCCTCTCTCTATTGGGCATGCAGTTGGCAAGAGTGATCTTTGGTGACTCTGTTCTGTCCAGGTTCTTTGCAAGAGCTGGAGAAGTAGATTGCTCAGGTTAGAGGTGTAATTAATACCTCTGCAGCCCCCCAGAAAGATGCACTGAAGATTTGCAGTGGCTACTGCCATTGGCCCATGTGTGTGTATGCATGCCAAGTGTGCATGTGTGGACATATGTGCATGTATGTATATCTATGCCTGTGTATGAATGTGTATGCTTGTGTGTGCCCATGTGTATGTATGTGGGTGTGTGTCAACCAAGAGTGTGGGGGGGAACCAAGAGATCCATACATCCATATGCATGGATGTATATCTGTGTGTGTGTACACATGTGCATGTGTGTGTATGAACATGAAGGAACTGAAGATTTTGAGTCTCTTATTGATGTGAATTGACTCTGAAGGGTGAGTTTTAACGCTGTGATAGTTAAGGGGAAACCAAGACAAAGAAACCAATGATTTTAATAACTAAATGAGGCCGAAATAAAACTCTAAGATTTATTTTTTTCACTCAGGAGACCACTGGCCATTCAGCTCATGACACTTCTCCCCACCAGCTCTTCAGAGTAAATGTTTCTCTCCCCAGGAACGAGTTCAAGTTTTAAAAGATTCTGCATGGGACTGCCTGGGTGCTTCCTGCTAGCCATCACTTTCATGCTCAGAATAGATGTGCCCCATTGCAAAAATGGCACTGTCACTTGGCACTGGGCCACTCACTGATTTGATGCCATTTTTATTGTAATTTACAGTTGTCGATTGAATTGGAAGGCTTGAACTATCCGTGGGGACATAAGCTATTAATATAACAATGCATAAAGAGCCGAAGCACCTCGCCGGGATACTGCAGTTTGAATTATTTTACATACGCACTTCTAAACGCACTCTCAACCTTAGCACTTTGCAGCCTGTGGGCCAGTGTTGCTCACTGCATCCATTTCTCCAAAATCATCATTCCTCTCCAGCACGCTGGATCGAATCCACGTTCAATAGGAAGCAATGAAACAAAGACCACATGTGCTGGTTTTAGCCCATATATGATGTGGCATATAAATAAGCATAGCTAACATGCTTTCCAAAACACGACCCACTTCTCCAGAGTTTAATCATGCTGAGGCCTCTTCCAGAGGGTGGGAGTCCCTTTCCAGGGCAAGTCCACACCAATAGAAATGGCCAGAGCACTCACTGTCCACGAATCAATAAAACCAGAAGATGAACAGGAAGACATAAGGAGCGCAAGTGGAAAACTGGAATGCTACAGTAATGCTCTGAATTTGGATCATATGTGCCCAGTTGTGAGAGGCTGTAAAAATAACCCTCGCCATCCTGTTCTTGGGGAAAAAAAGGCACCAAGCCTTCTGCTGTGATCAGGTTGTTCCCCTCCAAAATTCATATGTTGAAATCTAATTCCCAACACGTGGGTATTAAGAAGTGAGACTTTCGGGGCTGATTAGATCATGAAAGTGGAATCTTCACGAATGGGATTAGTGTCCTTATAAAACAGGCTGGAGGGAACCTGTTTGTCCCTTCTGTCATGTGAGGGCACATAGAAGGGACAATCTGTGAGAAACGGGCCCTCACCAGACACCAGATCTGCTGTTGCCTTGATCTTGAACTTCCCAGCCTCCAAAACTGTGAGCGATCAATTTCTGTTGCTTATAAACTACCCAATCCAAGATATTTTGTTATAGCAGCCTGAACTGACTAAGCCACCTGCTGAATTGACTTCTTTCCCTGGCAACAGTTATGGAGAGAGACTTCTGATCTCAAAATCCCACTCGATGTAGGGAGCTCAGATGTGAGTTCCTAACAGAAATCTAGGCAACTTTGGGGCAAATAATTACTTCTTAACCCAACTCTGCAAATAAGTAAGTTTTTCAATATTAGATAATTCACCCCAAAGTTACAAAACATAAATCACCTAAAGAGGGAAAGGTTGAAGCAGCTAATTTTGCAGGGGACTCACTTTGCTTGGCCATGAAAATAAGTGGGCAGATCTGAACTCTGCTCTGCAGGAGTTGATGACTCAGGAGAGACACCTGAGCATGAGCTACAGAAGCAGTGAAATGGGAACATTACAACAATGCATTCTTTCCCACCTACATTATGTTTAGCTGCATTACATCTTATTCATTCACTAAAGAACAAAAAAAGCAGGCCGGGTGCGGTGGCTCATGCCTGTAATCCCAGCACTTTGGGAGGCCAAGGCAGGCAGATCACCTGAGGTCAGGAGTTCAAGACCAGCCTAGCCAACATGGTGAAACCCCATCCCCGCTAAAAATACAAAAATTAGACGGGGGTGGTGGTGGGCACCTGCAACCCCAGCTACTCAGGAGGATGAAGCAGGAGAATCGCTTGAACCCGGGAAGCAGAGATTGGAGATTGCAGTGATCCAAGATGGCACCATTGCCCTCCAGCCTGCACGACACAGTGAGACTCCATCTCAAAAAAAAAAAAAAAAAAAAAAAAAAGAAAAGAAAAGAAAAGGTGTCATTTGTGGAAGACATCCTGGCATATATGCTATGGATTCTCTATCTATAGTAAATTTTAGAAATAGAATTTTTGAAAAATTTTAATTGCTTAAATGAGTCACAGTGAAGTTTTAAAAAATTCATTCTGATTGCAGACTTTTGTTCTCTGGCTAACAGGAAGGATTAAGGAAGTAAGAAATAATAATTATTGTGATGATAATAAAGTAGCTCATATTTCCTGAGCACTAACTACGTTCTAGGCAACTGTACTAAATGCTTTTAAGTGAATCATCTTTTAATCTTAATTTTCACAATGTTCTTTAAGATAATCTTACCTGTCTGCCTTACCGAGGAGGAAACGGAATTGCCCAAGGTTCAACAGCTAACATAGGACAGAACTGAGACGGAAACTTTGGACTGTTGGATTCCAAATTTAGTGCTCTTAATTATTATACTTATAGATATATTATGTCTTAGGTATTTAGTTTTATATATACTAGTTAGTTTTAGTTTATATATAAACTAGTTTTAGTTTTATATATTTTAGGGTGTCCAGTAAAACACTCATTCTGGTCTAAATTTATAGGGCAGAGTTAGCAAATAGATGAGAGATAAAAGAGAAAAAATCAGAAAACTTCCAAGATAATTATGATAAGAATAGCTATGACTTCTTGAACACGTATATGTCAATAATAATTTATAAATTATAGATTATATAATTTACAATATGCATTATATAAAATATAAATTATATATAAAAATTGTATATTACATATATTATATACAAATTATATATATTATATACAAATTATATATTATATAAATTATAGATTATATATAAATTATATATTATATAAATTATAGATTATATATAAATTATTTATTATATAAATTATAGATTATATATAAATTATATATTATATAAATTATAGATTATATATAATTTATATATATTATATAAAAATTATATATTATATATAAAAATTATACATATTATATATAATTTATTTTCCAAGTCTAGAATACTCTCACTGGATTATTGTGGCAGCCTTCAAACTGGTCACCCCTAATTCCTGTCTCTGCTCTAGTAAATCCATTCCTGTACATTTCCATTACAGTTGTGGTTCTAAAATGCAGATCATATCATTCTCTCCAATATTCTCAACGCAACATTTCTCAACATTTCCTTGACTGATAAAGGAAATACTTCTGAATATGGTTCTCTCTTTTTTTCTTTCTTTTCTTTTTTTTTTTGAAACAGAGTCTCGCTCTGTCACCCAGGCTGGAGTGCACTGGCACGATCTTGGCTCACTGCAAGCTCCGCTTCCCGGGTTCACGCCATTCTCCTGCCTCAGCCTCCCGAGTAGCTGGGACTGCAGGTGCCTGCCAGCATGCCCGGCTAATTTTTTGTATTTTTGTTTTAGTAGAGACGTGGTTTCAGCGTGTTGGCCAGGATGGTCTCAATCTCCTGACCCCGTGATCCGCCCGCCTCGACCTCCCAAAGTGCTGGGATTACAGGTGTGAGCCACCGCGCCCAGCCTGAATATGGTTCTCAAGAACCCCCCAATCTAGTCTCTTACCCTAGTGCCTCCCTAGCACCCATGTGGACAACTTTGTTCAATGGTCACAAGGTCTGAGACCTTCGCTCACACCATGGACCCGACCTGTCCTGCTTTCCTGGCACAGTACAACATAGCGGGCGTGCATATGAACTTTGGAGTCAATGGAACCTGGATTGGAACTCCAGCTCTGCCGCTTTTCAGTGGTAGGACCTTGGACTACCTGTGTAGCTTTCCTAAGCCTTCTGTTCTTCATCTGAAAACATGCATTGTTGAGAGCATCCAGTGAAATCCCAGGAGCACTCCACTTAGCACACAGGATTCAGGAAATGGAAGCTGTTTGTGTTTGCCTTGGGGAATTCTATGCCCTTTCTTAGATCCGGTTTTTGAGGACATCCAGGTATATAGGCCTCCCTCCACCTCGGTCAAGCCTCAGACTCCATCATTGTCACACTCAGGCCTGACATTTGGCCTAAGCCCATACCCATGGTTCAGCTTTCCTTTTACTCCTAGTCCTGATATAATTCCAATGACCTCTTCCTAATATGTACAGTAAAACGCTCAATATAGTCTCAATTTATAGGGCAGAGTTAGAAAAGAGATGAGAGACAGAAGAGAAAAAAAAATCAGAAAACTTCCAAGATAATTACGATCAGAATAGCTATGACTTCTCAAACACTATGTGGCAAATCCTGCTTTAAGTGTGTACGTGCATAGCCATCCCTCGGGGTATGGAGAGGACTTATTCCAGAACCCCTGCCTATGTCCAAATCCAGGCATGCCCAACTCCTACAATCAGCCCTGCAGAACTCCTATACGAAAGTTGGCCCTGTTTATATGTAGGTTTCACAACCCGTG
Source organism: Homo sapiens (assembly GCF_000001405.40). Lineage (NCBI taxonomy): Eukaryota > Metazoa > Chordata > Mammalia > Primates > Hominidae > Homo > Homo sapiens. The sequence goes on from NC_000010.11 coordinate 14,099,585, forward strand.
AATATGATATTTTTGATCCTCATTTTGGTTGATAAAAAAAAGCATGTGTAAGTGGACCTGTGTAGTTCAAATCCATGTTGTGCAAGGGTCAGCTGTATTTACTTAATAAATTTTCAAAAGAGTGGTGTAATTTTTAATGGTCCCTTTTATATCTACTACTTAGAGAGATTAAATAACTTATAAAATGATGGAGCCTGATAATTTCTTTTTAACTTTTTTACTTTTGGAGACATGGTCTCCCTCTGTTGTCCAGGCTGGCCTCAAACTCTTGGGCTCAAGTGATCTTCCAGTCTCAGCTTACCAAGTAGCTGGAGCCTAGTTTGACCCAAGGCAACCTGGCTTTAGGGCCTGGGTTCTGAGCGAGTACCTTCTCCCTCCGTTCCCTGTCTGTCTCTTTCCTCAGTTCTCTGTCCCTGCCATTTATACAAACACTGGGGTACAGCACAGATCTCTGGTTTTCACCCCCACGTGCCAGACAGGCGGCTCATCCACTCCTTGTTTTGCAGTCAGCTCAGCAAACCCAGTTGTGGTGCCTGGCTGGCTCTGTCCTTTATGTCAACTTCATTTCCACTGTCTCGATTTCCAGTGTCTCGATTCACCTGAACTTATGAATTTAAAATCACTTATCGCATGTGGTGAAAGGAAACGTCTCCATTTTCTATCAGTTTTGTATCTGAAGTAGCATCCATGCTGGAGCTTCAAAGAATTCATTATAAATATTCGATGGCAGCCAGAGCTTGAGACTCTTGGATGCTTGGAAAAAAACACCTAGAAAAACTCCTGGTGAAAAATATTTCCAAATTACTCTATCATTATAATGATTCTATCATTATCTGCAAGGATAGGCTGGGTTTGGGTCCTGGGAAACTTAGAGAGGTTTTTAGGAAGAGCTGTTTCAAATGACTTTTCCACCCTATTTCCCCCCGACCCCTTAAAAGTCTGAATAAATGAAAGACGTCAACCTTTCCATATGCAGTTACAGTCTAGGATCTGGGATATTTTATTTTATATACTTGCCGGCCTTAGGATAAGCTGCACAGTGAATCAATATGAGAAAAGCCAATCTGTTCAAGATTGTTGAAGTTAAGATTATTGAAGATTATTTCATGCTGAAAATAGAACATATATATATATATATTTCTGATTGATAGGATTTTAGGTGGATTTCATTTCCCCCACCCTACTTCCTATACTTTTTAGCTTTTCTAGAAAAGCTATTTACAGAAAAAGTAAATATCTAAGGGAAAATCAATCATTTGATGACTTTAGTGGAAAAACTCTGAACTAGAAGTTTTGAGTGTTAGATACAGTTTTAACTCTGTGTT